>NC_000005.10:175911769-176062215 GCF_000001405.40 Homo sapiens
TTCGGGAGGCCCAGGCATGTGGATCACTTGAGGTCAGGATTTTGAGACCAGCCTGGCCAACATGGTGAAACACCATCTCTACTAAAAATACAAAAACTAGCCGGTGTCATGGTGCATGCCTGTAGTCCCAGCTACTCGGGAGGCTGAGGCAGGAGAACTGCTTGAACCCAGGAGGTGGAGGTTGCAGTGAGCCGAGATTGCGCTGCTGCACTCTAACCTGGGTGACAGAGTGAGACTCCATCTCAATTGGTAGATTTGGATTCCGACTCATCCCAGCTCTGCTCGCTGTTGCCCTGGGCAAGTTGCTGGCCTCCCCAAGCCTCATTTTCCATCTGCAAAATGGGGGACAAAAGTCCCACCAAAGCACAGAGTTGAAAGCTCTTGGATTTGACAACTTGGCTTTCAACTCCATATCTTCCATTTAGTGGGGCTGCGTGGCCTTGGGCAAGCTGCCTAACCTCATGTGCAAAATGGAAATATTAACAGCACCCACCTGATGGGGCTGCAGTGAGGACTGAAGGAGAAATGAGGAAGGTGCAGTGCTTGGCCTGGCGCTTAGCAGGATCAGTAAATAGAGGCTATTGTTACCACGTCTGGAAATAGCCACCTGATTAAACAAAGCCTGTGACTCTACTTGGTGGAATATTATGCAGGCACCAAAAAGGATACACAGTAGATGGTGCAGCCCAGGAAATGCCTATGTCCAAATGCCTTCTTCACTAGATCTCTGCAAGGGAATAATTATCTCCATTGACAGAAGGGATAGCTGAGGCTTACAGAAGGGGCCTGAATGGTCCCAGGTCACAGAGCAAGTAAATAGCTGAGCTGGGAATTGAACACAGGGAAAACCTGTCTCGAAATGCAGATTCCATCCTCTTTGTCACAATTCCTGCACATCATATTTTAGAAATTGATTTGCTCAAGTCAGGAGCCTGCAGGCATTTCATTTTGGTTTCTGTCCAGGTGATCATGATGTTTTTGTGCCATTGATAATTATTTTTTAAGGCAGATAATAATGTTGACCTGCACTCCCCACCTGGCTAATGTGCAGAGCAAAGGAGCTCAAAGCTGTGTGTGGGATCTGGCAACAGGACAGAGCATGTGAGCAACAGTTAACATCATTCCAGGACCAGGGTGGCTTAGCTTAATACTACACAGTCATTCATTCATTTATTCTACAAGCATTTATTGAGCCTAAAGGTACATGTTCTGGGCTCAGAGGACACAGCAGGGAACCAGAGAAATGACATATTCCTGCCTTCTCAGAGCTGACATCCCTGGGGAAAAGACATACACTAGACAAGTAAACAGACACAAATACTAGAGAGGAAAATAAAGCAGGATCAGGGCATGGGGGCGTGGGGTGACGCTCCTTTGTTCCTAGTGTCATGGAAGGCCTCTCTGGTAAGGTGCCATAGGAGGCTAAGGTTCAAACAAAGAAAGGAGATAAACCATGATATCCAAGGGAAAAGCATCTGGGCAGAGAAACAGCAAGTGCAAAGGCCCTTAGTCTGTTGGGGCTGCTCTAACAAAATACCATAAAATGGGAAGCTTATAAACAAATAATTGACTTCTAACCATTCTGGAGGCTGTGAAGTCCAAGATCAGGGCACCAGCAGATTCAGTGTCTAATGACAGACAGCTTGCTTTCTGGTTCCCAGATGGCACTTTCTCACCATGTCCCCACACAGTGGAAAGGACAAGGTGGGCCTCTTTGATGAGGGCACTAATTCCATTTGTGAGGGCTCCACCCTCATGACCTACTCACCTCCCAAAGGCCCCCTTCCTAATACCCTCACACTGGGGATTAGGTTTCAACATAGATTCAGAAGGACACAGTTGGACCACAGCAGGCCCTGAGGCTGAATTATACCTGTGAAGTTCAGGAAACAGCAAGCAGGCCAGTGTGGCTGCAGCAAGTAGGGGAAGGAGGTGGGGAAGGGGTGTGGTGGGCAGCAGATGCTACAGGGCCTCACAGGCCACTGTAGGAACTTCAGAATTTACCATTCAGCATGAAGGATCTGGCTTGTCATTCTCTCATTGGTTGTATTATTTGCATTTTCTTTACCCAACAATTTCCCATTTCTGACCAGATAAAATCTGAACTCCCAGATGTGGCATTCAAAGGCTTTCAGAGTAAGGGGAGGACAGGGAGGTGCTCAGTACCCCACCTCACTTTCCAGCCTCCTGTCCTGCCGCTCCCCACCATACATCGTCACCGCCCCCCTCCCCTCACTACCCTCTGTCACACCTCTGTGCCTTTGCCCATGCAGGGCTCTCTGCCTGCCTTCATTCAGGCTGACACTCAAATACTTGAGGAGCACCTCCCGAGTGCCAGGCCCTAACGGAGGGGCTGGAGAAATAGTGGTGAGCAAAACTGTCCCCGTCTCTGCTCATCTGGCATCTAGCAGAGAACAGCAACACTAACCTGGTAGGTGGGGAACTGTGGGCCGCGGCAACGGCCACTCTGGAGTGAGGGTAGACAGGGAGGCCCTGAAGAGGGAGTGTGGAAGCTGAGACACAAGAATGAGCAGCAGTCAGCCCAGCAAAGAGGTGGGAAGAATGACTAGCCCCCTTGAACAGCACAGCAGAGGGAGGAGGGAGGGAGAAAGAGGGCAGAGCTCGCCTCACCTGAGCCAGGCCGGGAAGGGAGCTCAGCAAATAGGCAGCGCCCGCCAGGCTCAGCGGCAGGTAAACAGGACTCTGTGCCACACCTGCTGCCCCCTCACCGCCCGCAGCCGCACAGGGATCAATATTTGCCTACAGACCTGTCTTGCCTGATGAGTGTTTGGGCATCCGCCAGGCAGGCCTGGCTGGAGGGGAGCTGGCAAGAAGCGGGACAGTCCTGGGGGATTCCAGCGCCTCACTGCCTGTAGCCCTGAGATGTGGGACCCAGACCAAGAAGAACCACAGCCAGGAGCCATGGGCAGGGCATCACCAAAGTCCTTCACTACTGCTCCAGCGGGGTTAGGAAGGCCTGATGCCAGGAAACCAAGGATAGAGTGACCCCAAAAAGGGCAGCCCACCTCCACACCTGACCACAGCTGCCGACCGCAGAGCAGCCGCTGCCTGTGTCCCCCACCCTTTCTCACTCACTTCTCCTCCTTCTTCTAAATACACTAAATGCATGCCGGGAATAAATTAATTCTGTATCAGATAGTTGAGAGACCTGCAGAATTATACATCTCCACCTTGTGCCTTCTGAATTTTTGTGCATTATTGGGTATTCAAATGAGTAAATAGTAAGGTGCATATTTTCATAATTTTAAAAAATCAAATTGTAAAGAAGATTAATTCATTGAAAACAGAAGTCCCCTGACCCCCTAATTCTACTTCACAACTTATCTTCATCTTAACTTTGGTAAGATTTCATTTTCAGCATAAATAGCATCATATCACACATCCGGTTCTCCCCTAACAACATGGTATACCCTGGGCACCTTTCCACCCCCACACATCTGGGGCTACCTCATTCTTTTTTGCAGCTAAAATATCTTCCATGTCTTGGATGTACTGGGGTTCGTGTAGACCCATTTTGGTAGGCATTTGTTTCCAGTTTTGTTTTGTTTTCTTTCAGTTTTGGTTTTGGTTTTTGCTATTAAAAATAATTCTCTACTGGACAGTCTTTTACTTGCATCTCTGCATATTTGTTGGAGTTTCTTTGTAGAATACATTCTAAACTGGAGGGCAAATGGCTTGTACAGTGTTTACATTTCACAGACATTGCCACAGTGCCCTCCAAAGAGGCTGTGCTCCTTCCCCTCCTACTGCCTCAGCCCAGGAGAGACTATTTCCCTGCCCTCAGCTGTCAGGAAACCTTTAGCTCTTTGACAAACTCATGAGTGAAAGATGATAGCTGTTTTATTTGTATTTCTTAATTATTAGTGAAGTTGGTATCTTTTAGGGCTAAGTCATTTGCATTTTTTGATGAATCGCCTCATTATACACTTTACACCGTTTCTTTAAAGGGGTATTCTTTCCTTATTTCATTTCAGCGATGTTTTAGCACCTACTCTGTAGTGGTTTACCACCCCCTTGTGAAACAGGATAGTGTGTCTGCACGGAAGCAGGGGGCAGAAGCAAACAAGAGTTCCTGTGTGGGGCATTCCCAACACAAAAGAGAGGTCATCAAGCCTTGAATCTGGTGAGACTTGAAGCATCTGATTACAAATGGACTGAGCCTCCATTTCCTTATCAGTAAAACAGAAAAATACAGTAATTCCTGTCCCTTGGTGAAAAAAAGCACAAAACCGTATGTGTAAGTCAGAATACCAGTCAAAACTGACATAAACCAAAAGGGAACTTATTGGTTCATGTAACTAAAAGCTCCAACTTCAGGCATGGCTGGATCCAGGTGCTCAAACACCATCAAGCATCGTCTGGCTCTCTCCACATTTCAGCTCTGCTTTCCTCTGTGTTAGCTGCATTCTCAACCTAGAGATACTGAGATAGCACCCAGTAGCTCCAGACTTATATCCTATTGATTCAACTATCCACAGAGAGCAGCTCCAGCAAAAACCCAGGGATTTGCTGTGATTGGTCTGGACTGGGTCATGCATCCATCCTCAAGCTAATCACTGAGGCTTGGGTGATAGACGATATAGATTCACCAGGCCTGGAGCTGAGGGATGAGAATGAATCCCATATGAAGCATGTGGCCTGAGCAGGAAGATGAGGAAATTCAGCTGCTGTTACCAAAAGAAAGGACAGGATAAAACTACAGATGTCCCTCTGCGAGATTTTAGCCCTGCCTCAGGTATGTGACCCTGCACAAATTATTTCTCCTCTCCAGTCTTTGAGTTCCCTACCTGTAAGATTCTGACTTCAAACTCAATTGCTGATTTTGATACCTTTTGTAGCAGAAAACTTTTTTACTTTTCAATAAACAATACACGGAACCCAAAACATAGAACAGATAAGAGCTGTGTTTTATTAGAAATGTTATTTGTGTTTAATTTTTATTTTTTATTTTACTTTACACTCTGGGATACATGTGCAGAACATGCAGGTTTGTTACATAGGTATACATGTGTCATGGTGGTTTGCTGCACCTATCAACCCATCATCTAGGTTTTAAGCCCCGCATGCATTAGGTATTTGTCCTAATGCTGTCCCTCCCCTGGCCCCTCACCCCCCAACAGGCCCCGGTGTGTGATGTTCCCCTCCCTGTGTCCATGTGTCCTCATTGCTCAACTCCCACTTATGAGTGAGAACATGCAGTGTTTGGTTTTCTGTTCCTGTGTTAGTTTGCTGAGGATGATGGTTTCCAGCTCTATCCATGTCCCTGCAAAGGACATGAACTCATTTTTTATGGCTGCATAGTATTCCATGGTGTGTATGTGCCACATTTTCTTTATCCAGTCTATCATTGATGGGCATTTGGGTTGGTTCCAAGTCTTTGCTATTGTAAATAGTGCTGCAATAAACACACATGTGCATGTGTTTCTATAGTAGAATGCTTTATCATCCTTTGGGTATATACCCAGTAATGGGATTGCTGGGTCAAATGGTATTTCTGGTTCTAGATCCTTGAGGAATCACCATACTGTCTTCCACAATGGTTGAACTAATTTACACTCACACCAATAGCGTAAAAGCGTTCCTATTTCTCCACAGCCTCACCAGCATCTGTTGTTTCCTGACTTTTTAATCATCTCCTTTCTAACTGACGTGAGATGGTATCTCATTGTGGTTTTGATTTGCAAGAAACGTTATTTGTTTGATCCAGTATTAGTCAGGATAGACCAGAATCTGCTGTAATAAATAAACCCCAATATCTCAGTGGCTTAACACACAAAGGTTTGCTTCTTGCTCCTGTCACTGTTCGGTGCAGGTCAGGGAACTCTTCTTAGCAGATCTTCTCTACCCCTCAACCAGTGGTCCAGAGACCCACCCTCCCACCATCTGTGGTTCTGCCATGATACAGCTCTGGCCTCTGTGTAAGGGGAAGAAGCCACAAACTCCATGTCTGCCCACATCCCAGGGGCCCTCAGCATCCAGTCACAGGCCTCTATTCAAAGGCAAGAAACTCTGGGAAATGTAATCTTCCTCTACTGGAAAAGGAAAATGACACTGTATGTTCTATAACATTTACTTATTATAAGGTCAGTCATTGAGAACAATGAGGTTGTTTTGATAGATCAAAAAGAATAAGAAATTCCGCTGGGCGTGGTGGCTCACGCCTGTAATCGCAAAACTCTGGGAGGCCGAGGCGGGTGGGTCGCTTGAGGTCAGGAGTTTGAGACCAGCCTGGCCAACATGGTGAAACCCCGTCTCTACCGAACATACAAAAATTAGCTGGGCTTGGTGGTGGGCGCCTGTAATCCCAGCTACTTGGGAGGCTGAGGCAGGAGAATGGCTTGAACCACTGCACACCAGGCTGGGTGACAGAACGAGACTCTGTCTGAAAAAACAAACAAACAAACAAAGAAATTAGATATCATGGATGACAGATTTAGTCATGTCTCAACCTCAGCACTGACTTTAAGCTTCAAAACTTTTAAACTTTTTAAAGTTGCAAATATATTAAGAAAATCCCAGGTCAACAAGTAATAGCAGTTGAAAATCCTAGCAGTATTTAGAACCTTGCTTTGCTTGCAATTTTTAGGGTCCTCTTTACTTGTACAGAGATAGCAGGACAAACTTCAGTGTCAAACTTACTGACAACTGAGTTAATGGCAGAAGAAACTGTGCTGGCCATCTCCAGATGCTAACATTTAGTATGCAATATATCCAAGGGTTTTTGTTCTGTTTATTACAATGCTCAAATCCATATTTCAAATGTGAAGCTCAAATACAGTGTTTGCGGAGGGCTCTGTTCTGGAGCGCACAGTGCCAGAGGACCTTTGGGTTTCATAATGCATATGCATCTAAGCAGAGAATGGCTGGGTGTCCTCAGGCAAGACGTTTCCCCTCATTAGGCCTTGTTCTTTTCATCTATAATAGGGAAGGCTCAGCAAACCCAAGGGCCTCGACCAGAAAACAAATAAACAAACAGACCACACACAAACACACAAAGATCCTTTGCTTTGGGTGAAGGCATCTGCCACGTTGTGACAATGCTCAGGTAGACTAGATCGGGCAACGGAGAAAGAACCTCAGGCTTCCAGACATCAGCCACTGAACAAGCCTGGAGATGTCTGCTTCAGCTGGAAGCTTTATTGCAACCTCATGAGAGACTCTGAGCCAGAACCATCCAGCTAAGCTGCTTTCAGATTTCTAACAGTCGGGCACTGTGAGATAAAAATATTTGTGGTGTTAAATGCTATGTTTTGGAGTATTTTGTTACCCAGCAGCAGATAACTAATACAGATGATAAAGGGAATGATTTCATCTTCTTAGGTGTGATACTGGTGGTGTGATTATGCAGGAGACTGCCCTTATTTTTAAGAGTTTCAGGCCAATGTGTTTAGTGATTTAGTGGTGATACCCATGCACACCTGTGACTCACTTGGATTACCTACAGCTTAACCTACAAAGGCCATTAGCATGAAACTGCTGTTTTTATAGATCAAAAATGGCCAAATATAAGCAATTTTGCATGCAATATAAACTAATATATGAGAACTGATAGTCTATGGCCCTTTTCTAGCCCATATACATGTCTGTTTGTTTTTTTAATGTGTTTCATTTTAATCTTACAAATTGAGACGTCGCACACAGAAAACAGATTTCTGGTCTCTCTTTAGAAAAAAATACCTTTAAAGGAAGACATAGACATAGGGGGAAATCTTTGTGATCATAGATTAGGCAGAGGTTTTTTTAGCTATAACACTAGAAGAATGACCCATAAAAGAAAAAGTTGATAAATTGGACTTCGTCAAAATCCTGCTCTTCAAAAGATGTTGCTAAGAGAAGGAAATCAAAACCCACAGACTTGAGAGAACATATTTGCAAACTGTCTATCAGATTTTTAAAACTCTTATACCCAGACTATACGAAGAAGCTTCAAGTCACAAAAGACTACAGATTACATGATTGCATTTTATGAGACATCCAGAATAGGCTAATCCATGGAGAGACAGAAATAAGTAGTTTCTTAGGGCAGAAGTGGAGGGGTTATTATGGGGCTTGGGTAATGCCTAAAAGAATGGGGTTTCTTTTTGAGGTAATCAATATGCTTTAAAATGGACAGTGGTGATGACGGTACAACTCTGTGAATACACTAAAATATGTAGCCCCAGCCCTGAAGCATGCCCCACCCCACTGACCCCTTCATTTCCCTCCGTACCACTTATCACCATGTCACAAATATCTGCTTGCTTGTTGTCTTTATCCTCCCACAGAATATAATAATGACAGGGCCGGGCACGGTGGCTCATGCCTGTAATCCCAGCACTTTGGGAGGCTGAGGTGGGCAGATCACCTGAGGTTGGGGGTTTGAGACCAGCCTGACCAACACGGAGAAACCCCATCTCTACTAAAAATACAAAATTAGCTGGGTGTGGCGGCCCATGCCTGTAATCCCAGCTACTCAGGAGGCTGAGGCAGAAGAATCACTGGAACCCAGGAGGCGGAGGTTGTGATGAGTCGAGATCGCATCATAGCACTTTCCAGCCTGGGTAACAAGAGCAAAACTTCATCTCAAAAAAAAAAAAAAAAAAAAAAAAAGAATAATGACAGCAGAGACACTGTTTAATTCATTGCTGTGTCCGAAGCACCTAGAATGGTGTCTGAATCAGAGCCAGGAGCTCAATAAAATATTTGTGAAATAAATGAATCCTTTTTTTTTTTTTTTTTTTTAAAGAGGCGGGGTCTCGTTCTATCACCCAGGCTGGAGTGCAGTGGCACAATCACAGCTCACTGCAGCCCTGCCTCCTGGGCTCAAGCCATCCTCCCACCTCAGCCTTCCAAGCAGCTGGGACTAAAAGTGTGTGCCACCACGCCTGGCTGAATCCCTATTTTATAGATGAGGAAATAAGGTCTCACAGCTAGTACGATCTGGGTTTTATATGAGTTTGACTTTAAAGAACGTTCTCTTAACCAGAGTCTGGCACAGGGGGCCTCAGAGAACAGGCTTTGGAATCAGAATAGCCTTGGCTTAAATTAGTGGCTCTTAATCTTTGAGAATCACTGACCCCTTGGAGAATCCTTTGAAAGTTTTAAGCTCCTTACCCTGGGAAATGGATACAAGTACAAACATAAAACATTTTGCAGATGATTTCAGGAGCGCATGGACATTTTTGTACCTTCCTGAGTGTCTTGGGTTTGTGTCTTTGAATAGTCATTTCATCCCTCTGAGCCTCAGTTAATGCTATAAAGTGAGGATAATGAGATTGACCTTACATGGTTGCCTGGAAGATCCAATGAGATCAGTACGAACATTAGGGGTTCAAATATTGTCAGGCCCCAATTCCCCTTCCCTACCTGAGCCTGGGTCCCAGGCTGGCCTCTCCCTTTTCCCAGCTTGTATGACTCTCAGACCCTTATTTTCCATCAGCCTTAGTGCCCCCTGCCCAGGAAAATAGGATTATTGCTCATTTAATGGAATAACTCAAATGAGATAGGGGAAGCCCTCAGGAAACATGAAAGCCCTAGAAACGTTTCCCAAGACATTCGCTCTGCCTGCTGCAAATTGTTTTACTTTTTCAATTTCAGCTACAAAAAGTGTTCTGCAGGTCCACGCCTAAGGAGCTCAAGGATAATGTGGGTCAAATCCCATTTCACTAAATCCTATTATAGTGCCCCTTTTCCATGGAAGGCTGCTCTCCTGGATCGCAGCCTCCCAGGGAGGACCGACTGACTTGCCTTTGTCCCCAGCCACCCTAGCACAGAGCCTGGCACCATGGGAGCTTTGCTGCCAAAACTGTCACCTGCAGCCAAAAACTTTGTGTAGTCCCCACGATTTCTGTTTCAATTAAATGCCAACATTTAACAATCAGGAGAGTTCATAAACAAATTGAGGCTTTTGGCTCCTCTTGGAAAATCAGATCTATATCCCGAGCTCAAGTTCTCACGTGTTGGAAGAGCTGGAACTGCAGCTGCCCCCATCCTTTTCAATGGCAACTAGCATGTGGCCTCTAGCCCCCACAGTCCCCACAGTAGTATTTATGTCCATCTCCAGGCTGGAATCAATAGGCATGGGAGTCAGCTTCTGTATTTTATATCCTTAGAATGCTACATGAAACCCGTTCGCAAGCAGCAGCATCTTCTTTAGCCCGTAAGAAACCTCTGTGAGTTACGTACTATCAACTCACATCATAGTTGAAAAAACTAAGGCTCCAAGAGGCAAAGAAACTCATCCAAGAGCACAAAGTTAGTAAGACACAAATTCATGGCTCAATCATAAATTCCTGTTACCTGGAGAGAGATTAACACCTCTAATAAGTGGCTTCCATTTATTTAAAGTGATATTCACTGCAACTACACTCTGGTGCAAAGACTTTGAGGCAAGCAGATCTTGTTCCAAATCTGGATTCTGCCATGTACTGACATTGAGACTTGACCTTATCCATTTCTGCATCTCTAAAATGGAGCCTCAAATTCCTTCCTCACAGGGCTACTTACTAATCCTTTGTAGATCTTAGTAAGTGAATCTGGAAACTGCTACCCTGACCCAAGAATGAGGGCCACCCCATGGAGTTCATCAAAATGAGAGTCAACATGTGGGTTTTGTTTGGTTTGGGACAAAACCAAAGGACAGTGATCTCTAAACAGGAACTATGAAAAGATATATAACCAAAGGCAGCTTTCTTTAAAATATTTGAACCATGTAGTCATAGCTGAACAGATGCC
The DNA here is from genome assembly GCF_000001405.40 of Homo sapiens. NCBI lineage: Eukaryota > Metazoa > Chordata > Mammalia > Primates > Hominidae > Homo > Homo sapiens. The sequence continues at coordinate 175,922,504 of NC_000005.10, forward strand.
TAGAGGAGGTATTCAGAGGGTTCCAGTGAGAAGAGGAGATGAGAGCAACAAAACTAATGAAACTAGATGGATAATAACTGTTTTAGCAGACCAGAGGAAGCAGAAACCTAGGCTACTGGTGGGGAAGCTCAGAAGCTGGCCGATTAGCACTGCAAGTCTCCAGAAGGCCTCAGGAATTGAAGGCACCAAATACCTCTGAAAGAGGCATGAAGATGGGACTTAAAGCAGGTAGTCTGGTTGAAAGTCTGTTTAAGAAGCAGTTGGAACCAAATGATCAAACAGCATCGCCAATAGCAATCCCTCCTGACATATGCCTCCGGGTGAAGTACATAGCTTTGGCTATGATATCTTCCTGGCAGGATGTTTAACCTGAATTTAAAAGGCCTGTAGACTAAACTTTCAATCCATAGGAAATACAGGGGATAGAGGAACAAGTCAAGTGAGGAAATAATCAGCAAGCCTAGACTGTGGGACGTTCTAGAAGACTGGCCTTTTCAAAAAGCCAATGTCATAGATTAGAAAGACCAAAGAGATACAACAGCCAAATGCAATGGATCCTGGTTTTTGGTTTTTCTGTGTTTTTTTTTTTTTTTTAGGCCATTTGGAGAAATTTGAAGATGAATCAGATATTAAATGGTGAGGTAGCCAGCCTCCAAGATGGGCCATAGTGATCCCCACCCCCACACTCATACATAGTCCTTCCTGCATTACACTAGGATTGGTCTATGTGTCTAATACCATACTGCAGAAGTGATGGTAAGTCACTGCTGTGAATAGTTATAAAAGACTACAGCTTCCGTCTTGGGTACTTGCTCTCTCTCTCTCTCTCTCGCTCTCATTCACACACACACACACACACACACACACACACACAAAGATCCTTTGCTTTGGGTGAAGGCATCTGCCACGTTGTGACAATGCTCAGGTAGACTAGATCGGGCAATGGAGAAAGAACCTCAGGCTTCCAGACATCAGCCACTGAACAAGCCTGGAGATGTCTGCTTCAGCTGGAAGCTTTATTGCAACCTCATGAGAGACTCTGAGCCAGAACCATCCAGCTAAGCTGCTTTCAGATTTCTAACCGTCGAGCACTGTGAGATAAAAAATATTTGTGGTGTTAAATGCTATGTTTTGGAGTATTTTGTTACCCAGCAGCAGATAACTAATACAGATGATAAAGGGAATGATTTCATATTCTTAGGTGTGATACTGGTGGTGTGATTATGCAGGAGACTGTCCTTATTTTTAGGAGTTTCAGGCCAATGTGTTTAGTGATTTAGTGGTGAAATGTCCTGATACCTCTACAATTTAGTTTCAAATGGTCCAGCAAATATATAAACATGGCAGGCGTGCGTGCACACACACACACACACACTCACACACACAGTTCCTGAATCCAAGTGCTAAGTATACAAATAATCATTGTATCATTCTTTTAACGACTCTGTATCTTTGAAAATTCTCACAATAAAAACTTAAAGAATTTCTGCTTCTAGCCAAGATGAAGTAACAGAATCTTGATTTATCCTACCATTGAAAACAACCAAGAAACCATTAAAAATATATGAAATAGGCCAGGGAACAGTGGCTCACACTTGTAATCCCAGCACTTTGGGAGGCCAAGGTGGGTGGATCACTTGAGGCCAGGAGTTCGAGACCAGCCTGGCCAACATGGTGAAAACTCGCCTTTACTAAAAATACAAAAATTAGCCCAGCATGGTGGCAGGTGCCTGTAATCCCAGCTACTTGGGAAGCTGAGGCAGAAGAATTGCTTGAGCCCAGGAGGCGGAGGTTGCAGTGAGCCAAGATCACACCACTGCACTCCAGCCTGAGCAACAGAGCGAGACCCTGTCTCAAATATATATATACATATATCTAATATTTTATATATAAAATACATATATTTATATATAAATAAAATAATGAAATAGCAGTTTTCAAGACACTGGACACCAGACAACAACAAAGGACAGTGATCTCTGAGAGATGCAAAATAAGACAAACCCTGTAATTTTCCCCAATCACCGTATTAACAGAGTTTCCCAACCATAACCCAGGGCAGGCGAACTGAGGCAGATCCCAGCAGACTCCCTACATTGAGGAGATAGAGCTTCTTCTCAATGTCTGCCTACAAACTCTTGTTTGTGTTAAAATCTTCCATTCATTGAAAGAAAACACTAACTGATGAATCATTTGGAAAGCAAGCTTCTTTTTACTTTCTGGGGCTGAATATCTCCATTGGCCTGTGGATGCATATGAGAGTAAGAAATTTCTTCTACTAGATTCTTCTTGATATCTACCTACGATCTCCTTTTTGTCTTAAGATTTTCCACTCCAGGAAGGGAGACAAAAGCAGAGTTTCTAGAGCAGATTGCAGAGAAAAGGTAACTGCCCAGAGAGAGAGCACCAGAAATCTGCAGTGGGTCTCCCTCATGGAAACGGCAGAGTACTGGTCAACTCATGTATGCAATAAAAATACCTGAGGCTAGGCCAGGCATGGTGGGCACACGCCTACAGTCCCAGCTACTCAGGAGGCTGAGGTGGGAGGATCGCTTGAGCCCAGGAGTTCAAGACTGTAGTGTGTGATGATCATGCCTATGAATAGCCACTGCACTCCAGCCTGGGCAACACAGTGAGAACTCATCTCTAAAACAAACAAAATATAAAAGAAACCTGAGGCTGTGGAAAAAAACAAACAAACAAACATCTGAAAGGATTCAAAGCAATAGTATCTCGCACTCACACAGGGCTAAGAACAGTGCTTACTGACACCAGGCAGACGTTAAAATCGAACAATTCACGGATCATTGGGTGGAGTACTCACAAGGGTCTTTCTTTAGTCATGTGGAATAATTAGTCCTAGACTAAGCATTGCTCTAAACCTTCCTAACAAATAATAAAAGCAAGACCCCAGAAAGATCAAACTATTTCCAAGTAAATTGGATTCCAGAGCACATATTTATAAAAATACAAACATATTAAACACCTGACAAAGTAAAATTCACATATGGCATTCAATCATCAGGGATTATCAAGCATGCATAGAGGTGGCAAAAACACAAACTATAATGAGGACAATAATCAATAAATCAAACTGACCAAGAACTGACACAGATGTAAGAATGAGCAAAGAAAGGCTGGGTGCAGTGGCTTATGCCTGTAATCCTAGCACTTTGGGAGGCTAAGGCAGGTGGATCATTTGAGGCCAAGAGTTTGAGACCAGCCTGGCCAACATGGCAAAACCCCATCTCTACTAAAAATACAGAAATAAGCTAGGTGTCATGGCAGGCACCTGTAATCCCAGGTACTCATGAGGCTGAGGTAGGAGAATGGCTTGAACCCATGAGGCAAAGGTGCAGTGAGCCAAGATTGTGCCACTGCACTCCAGCCTGGGCAACAGAACAAGACTCCATTTCAAAAAAAAAAAAAAATCATCAAAGGAACATTAAAACAGTTATGAAAATTATACTCTATAAATTCAACATTAGGTAGAGATATGGAAGATATACAAAATACCCAAATCAAACTTCTAGAGATAAAATTTATAATGTTTAAGAGGAAAAATATGTCTAAGATTAAAAGCAGATGAGACATCGCAGAAAAAAAGATGAGTGAACTTGAAGACATAGAAATTACCCATAATTACACAGAAGAAAAAAGAAAAAAATAAAAAGAGCATCAACAACTCTATGTCCAAAATTTAATAACTTAATTGAAATTGACCAATTACTTGAAGGACACAATCTACCAAAACTCACAAAAAGAGCAATAGACAATCTGATAGGCCTGTATCTTTAACAAAATTTAACCAGAATTAATAACCTTCCAAAACAGAAAACATCAGGTCCAGCTGATTTCACTGGTAAACTGTACCACTTAAGGAAGAAATGATACTAATTCTCTATCATCTCTTCCAGAACACTTCTTAACTTATTCTGTGAGTCCAGCATTACCCTAATATCAAAACCAGATAAAGAAATTACAAGAAAGGAAGACTTCAGATCAACATCTTTCAAGAACATAAATACAAAAATCTTCAGCAAAACATTAGCAAATCAAATTCAACAATGTATTTTTAAAAAACTACATGCCATGGCTAAGTGGAATTTATTACAGGTACACAAAGCTGATTCAAGATTCAAATGGCAGCAAAGATGGTGGAATGATCACGATGCTGCAAACTGGCCTCTTGGCCAGGGGGCCAGCTGCTTTCTGGGAGGCTGAGTGTGTCTGTTGGACTGTGCAAGGAGAAGAAAAAAAGATATCAACCAGAGGAAAGGAATGGAATATTTTTCTTCCCTACCTTACAGCGGGGAGTAATAATCTACTCTAAAGCAAAGGTCTTAAGTAGGTGACTATAAACTATTGGAAATTTTATGCACAATTACACATTTTTGTAGAAAGAAGAAGGTCCATAATATCAGCAGATTCTCAAACAGGACAGTGTTCCATAAAAGCTTGAGAACCGCTTCTCTGCGACTTCTGACATCTTTTTAAATTAACCCCAGTGCAGCTTCCTTAACACAGGAAGAACATCTTTTCTCGAACTTTAGGTGCCTTGATATGCATCTCAAAAAAAAAAAAAATTCTGAACTCGGGACGTGGCAAGTATCTCTATGTTGTCTCCTAAAGCGGGCAGTCCTGCTTCTTTTATCCAGTTACTTTCTCTCTTCTTGAAATGTGGTTGTCTCTTCTCTACACATTACCTCCATGGCTTGGAATGGAAAAGGCCACTTTTCTTTTTGTTCCACGTCTCAGATTCAACACAGAGATGCCCCTAGGGTTGCAGTTATCCTGTCAACTTCTCCAGGAAGAAAAAAGCAACTAGCATAGGTTTTCTGCTGCTATTTCCTTAATTATAAAGACATTATTTTGCAAGCTGAAGACTGATGTTTCATTTGAAACAGGGGCTTAGGTGGTAGTATTTGTGAATTATTTACTTTTTGTTCCAAACAAGAAGACTAAATAAACAGCAAGCATGGATAACTTCAGGATTTTTTTTTAATGTCTTCTCATGTCAGCCATTATCACGAGACTACAGCAGTAAATTCCAAATATGTGGTTCTAATTTGAAATGAAAGATACTAAAAAGTTACATATATTTACATATCTAAATCCTGGCTCATCTTGTAACACGGATTTACTGAATAAGAACAAAGGTCCAATTTTGCAAGTAAACCTTTGATGTGATAAGCCTGAAGATAACGAAGTTAATTTCATATGCAATTAAAATCATCACAGTATCTGTACAGTTTTAAAAAACATTCAAAATCAATAAATATAATCTGTCACATCAAGAAGCTAAAGAAAAAATCATATGCTCATATGAATAAATGGATAAAAAGCATTTGACAAAATCCAACCTCCATCTTGATAAAAATTCAGCAAACTAGAAATAGAGGAGAAATTCCTCAGTTTAATACAGAACATCTATAAAAAACCTACAGCTACTGTCATACTTCATGATGAGAAACTGGATGTCTTCCCCCTAAGATTAGGATGTACTCTCTCATCATTCCTATTCAACATTGTACTGAAAGTTCTAGCTGATGACCTAAGACAAGAAAAGGAGATAAATATACACAGACTGGAAAGAAATAAATGAAAACTGTCCTTGTTCACAGATGACATGATTTTTATATAGAAAAATCCTAAAGAATTAACAAACCTGAACCAATCATCAATTATAGCAAGCTTGCCAGGATAAAAGGTTTATACATAAGTCAATTGTTTTCCTATATACCAGCAATGAACCACTGAAATTTGAAATTTCAAACACAATACCATTTATATTAGCATTAAAAATACTTGGTTATGAGTCTAATAAAATATGTATAAGATCTACATGACGAAAACTACAAAACTGATTAAAGAAATCAAAAGAAATCTAAATAAATAGATACTTCATGTTTATGAAGAGGAAGACTCAATATTGCCAAGATGTCAATTGATCTATAGATTCAATGCCATCCCAGTCAAAATTTCAGCAAGTTATTTTGTGGATTTTGACAAACTGGTTCTAAAATTTATATGGAAAGATGAATGACCCAGAATAGCCAACACAGTACTAAGGAAAAACAGTCAGGGGACCAATAATATCTGATTCAAGACTTACTGTAACGCTACAGTAATCAAGACAGTGTAGTATTAGTAAAAGAATAGATGAACAGATCAATGGAACAGAACAGAGACCAGAAATAGACCTATACAAGTAGTCAACTGATCTTTGACATAGGAGCAAAGGCAATTCAAGGGTAGCAAAGGCAATGGAGCAAGGGGTAGTGTTTTCAACAAATGGTGCCGAAACAAGTGGACATGCAACATCACATGCAGAAACAACAGGGAAGGAAGAAAGAAAGTAAGGAAGGAAGAAAGGAAGGGAGGGAGGGAGGGAGAGATGGAGGGAGGGGAGGTTCTAGACACAGACCTTACACCTTTCATAAAAATTTGCTCAAAATGAATCATAGACCTAAATGTAAACTACTAGAAGATGACATAGGAGAAAATCTAAATAACCCTGGGTTTGGCAATGACTTTTATTATACAACACCAAAACCCTGATCCATGAAAGAAATACTTGAAAAATTGGACTTCATTAAAAATTACAAACTTCTGATCTCAGAAAGTCCTTGATAAGAGAATGCAAAGACAAGTCACACAGTAGGAGAAAATATTTGCCAAACACATAAAAGACTGGCATCCAAAATATGTGAAGATCTCTTAAAACTCAACAATAAGAAACAAACAAGCCAAATTTAAAATGGCAAAAAATCTAAGCAGACATCTCATCAAAGAAGATACATAAATTACAAATAAACATAGAAAAGATGCTCAACATCATATGTCTTTAGGAAACTGCAAATCAAACCAACAATGGGATAGCGCTGTATACCATTTAGCAGAATGACTAAAAATCTGACAATACCAGAGGCTAACAAGGATCCGAGGCAACAGGAACTCTCAGGAACTCTCATTTATTGCTGGTGGGAATACAAAATGTTGCAGCCACTCTAGAAGACAATTTGGTAGTTTCTTACAAAATTAAACATTCTCTTACCATACAATCCAGCAACCATGTTCCTAGGTACTTAAGTAATTGGGTTGAACACATATGTCTACATAAAAACCTGTATATGAATGTTTATTATGGCTTTATTCATAATTGCCCCAAACTGGAGGCAACCAGGATGTCCTTCAATAGGTGAATGGTAAAAACAAACATATATACAATAGAATATTATTGATGGATAAAAAGAGATGAGCTATCAAGCCATAATAAGACCTGAAGGAAGTATAAATGAGTATTGCTAAATGAAAGAAATCAGTTTGAAAAAGGCTACATACTGTGTGATTCCAACTATAGGACATTCTGGAAAAGGCAAATATAGACAGACAATAAAAGATAGTGGTTTCCAGGGAGAGGGGAAGCAGGTACATTTAGGGGAAGCAGGTACATTTAGGTGGAGCATAGGGGATTGTTTTCAAGGCAGAGAAATGATTCTGTATGATACTGTAATGGTGGATATATGATATCATCATTTGTCAACATACCTAGAATGTACAACACAAAGAGTGAACCCTAATGTAAACTATGGACTTGAGTTAGCAATAATGGATCAGTGTTGGTTCATCAATTGTAACTAACGTATAACACTAAAAAAGCTATAGGAAGGAGAGGGGAGAATGGACATATGGGAATTATCTGCATGATTTTTCTGTACATCTAAAACTGCTCTAAAAAATAAAGTCTATTAATTTTAAAAAAGTATCAGTGAGTTGTGGGACAAGGTCAAGCAGCCTATTATGTATATAATTTGAGTCACCAAATAACAGGAGTGAGGTGGGGACAGAAAAAATATCTGAAGAAACAACGACCAAAAATTTTCTAAACTTGCCATAGATCTAAAAAGCTCAAAGAATCCAAGCACACACCCACACCAAAAAAAAAAAAGAAAAAAAAAACTGAAGAAAATTACATGTTATAATCAAATTTGTAAAGACCACTTAGCAAAAGAACATCTTAAAGGCAGCCAAAGAAAAAAGAAAAGGACATGTCATGTAGAGAGAAATCAAAATAAGGATGGCACAGATTTCTTGTCAGAAATATGGCAATCAAGAAGACAGCAGATAAACATCATTAGGCTACTGAAAGAAAAACATTCTCAACGTAATTGACAATAAAATATTTTCACTATACTTAGTTAAAATATTGAAAAATGAAAGTGAAGTAAAGACTCACAAAAGCTGAGGAAATTAATCACCAGCAGATCCACACTATAAGAAATGTTAAAGTGAGGGCTTCGGGCAGAAAAAAATAATACCAGCTGGAAATCTGGTTCCAGACAAAGGAATGACGAATACCAAAAATGGTAACTATGTACGTAAATATATAATTTTTTTTAATTTTTTGAAACTCCTTACATAAAATTGACCATACAAAAACACTAACAATGTAGTCTGGATTTTAAAACATAAGCAAAAGTAAGATACATGACAATAAGTATAAAGAATAGGAAGGAGGCAATAGAAGTACATTATTCTAAGCTTATACTGTACATGAAGTGGTATAATAGTACTTGCTTGAAGATAGATTGCAATAAATAAACATATACCTTATAAACCCTAAAACAACTACTAAAATAACAAAACAAACAGTTATAGCTAATAATTTACTAATAGTGCACCATATAAAATGGAATCACAGGCCAGGCATGGTGGTTCACACCTGTAATCCCAGCACATTGGGAGGCCAAGACAGGCAGATTACTTGAGGCCAGGAGTTGGAGACCAGCCTGGCCAAATATAGCGAAACCCCATCTCTACTAAAAATACAAAAAAATTAGCTGGGCGTGGTGGTGCATACCCATAATCTCAGCTACTCAGGAGGCTCAGGCACGAGAATCACTTGAACCCAGGAGGAAGAGGTTGTAGTAAGCTGAGATTGCACCACTGCACTCCAGCCTGGGCAACAGAGCAAGGCTCTGTCTCAAAAACAATAATAATAAATAAAATAGAATCATTAAAAAAATTAATCCATGAGGATACTGAATGTTCCCAAAACAAAGAAACAATAAAATGTTTGAGATGATGAATATGCTAATTACCCTGATCTGATCACTATACATTATATGTATTGAAACATCACTATGCTTTCCATGAATATATACAATTATTATTTGTCAATTTTAAAAAATAAAATGAAAATTAATCCAAAAAAGTCAGAACAAAAGGAAAAAGGAAACAAAGAATGACGGGAAATAGAACACAAATAAGATGATAGGCTTCAAAGTAACTATATTAATAAACACATTAAATATAAGTGATCTAAACATTCCCAATTAAAATACAGGAATTACCAGGTTGCATTTTTTTAAAAGGCAGGACCAGACTCTATGCTGTCTACAAGAAACACACTTTAAATATGAAGACACCAATAGGTTGAGTAAAAAGATGGAAAATTATATAGCATGTTAACACAGTTCAAAGATAGCTGGAGTGGCCATATTAATATTAGACAAGGTATACTTCAGAGCAAAAACTATTATAAGATAAAAAGAAGTTTATTTTGTAATAAAGGGGGACAATTAATCAAAAGAACATAACAATTCTATACACCTATGTACCTAATAACAGAGTTTCAAAATACATGAAGTAAAAAATGATAGCACTGCAGGGAGAAATTTAAAAATCCACGACCATAGTCAGAAATTTTAATATCATCAATAATGAATAGAACAACTATATAGAAAGTCAACAAGAATATAGAAGATGAATAACACTATCAATCAACTTGACCTGATTGACATTTACAGAACATTCCATCCAACAACAACAGAATACACATTCTTCTCAAGAGTACATAGAACATTTATCAAGATAGACCACATTCTGGGTCATAAAACAAATCTCAATAAATTCAGAAGGATTCAAGTCATAAAAAGTGTGTTATCTGACAAAAATAGAATTAATTAAAAATCAGCAACAAAAAGATCTCTGGAAAACCCCCAAGTGTTGGGAAATTAAATACCATACTTCAAAATAACCCACGGATCAAAGAAAAAAGTCAAAAGACACTTATATTTTGGACTGAATGAAAGTGAAAATACAACATATCAAAATCTGTGGGAGGCTGCTAACACATCATTTAGTGGGAAATTTATAGCACTAAATGCCTATATTAGAAAATAATAAAGGTCTGCTGGGTGCAGTGGCTCTTGCCTGTAATCCCAACACTTTGGGAGGCCAAAGTGTTGAGTCCGGGAATTAGCAATCAGCCTGGCCAACACAGAGCATAAAGCATACAAAAAATGCTTTAAAAATTAGCTGGGCATGGTGACATGCGCCTGTAGTCTCAGCTACTCAGGAGGCTGAGATGGGAGGATCGCTTTAGCCCAGGAGGTTGAGGCTACAGTGAGCTGTACTCCAGTTTGGGTAACAGAGCAAGAACCTGTCTCAAAAGAAAAAAGAAGAAAAGAAAATAATCACATCTTAAATCAGTGAGTCCAACTTTCCTTTTACAAAACTAGAATAAGAAGAGATATTAAATTTAAAATAAACAAAGAGGCTGGGTGCAGTGGCTCATGCCTGTAATCCCAGCACACTGGGAGGCCAAGACGGGCAGATCACTTGAGGTCAGGAGTTCTAGACCAGCCTGGCCAACATGGTGAAACACCGTTTCTATTAAAAATACAAAAATTAGCCAGTTGTGGTGGCATGCACCTGTAGTCCCAGCTACTCGGGAGGCTGAGGCACGAGAATCACTTGAACCCAGGAGGCGGAGGTCACAGCAAGCCAAGATCACACCACTGCACTCCAGCCTGGGCAACAGAGCAAGACCCTGACTCAAATAATAACAACAATAATAATAATAATCATCATCATCATCAAAGAAAATAGTGAGAATGAAAATCAATAAACTACAAAATAGAAAAACAATACAGACAATCAATGAAAATGAAAGCTAGTTGTTTAAAAAGATAAATAAAATTGATAAATTTCTAGTCAGATAGATCAGGAAAAAAGGAAAGAAAATAAAAATTATCAAGATCAAAAATAAGAGAGGTGCCATCAGTACAGATTCTATAGATATTAAAAGGATAAGAGAATACTGTGTACTCTTTATGCCAATAAATCTGAAAACTTAAAGAGACAAATTCATGAAAGATACAAACTACAAAAGCTCACTTAAGAAGCAATAGTCAAGGGGAATAGCCCCTTATCTATTTTAGAAGTTGCAGTTGTAGTTTAAACCTTCCCACAAAGAAAACTTCCAGTCCACATCACTTCATCGTGAATGTTATCAAATATTTAGGGGAAGAAAAAATGCCAGTTCTACACAAATTCTTCCAAAAAATTGAAGAGGAGCAAATATTCCCCCAATTTGTTCCATGAAGCAAGCATTACCCAGATACCAAAACCAGAAAAAGACATTGTGAGAAAAGAAAACTACAGACCAATAATGCTCATAAATACAGATAGGGAAAAAAAGTCTAAACAAATTTTAGCAATTTGAATCTGACAACATACTAAAAGCATAATAACCAATTGGACTGACTATGTGTCAGAAATTAAAGGTTGGTCATTATTAGAAAAATCAATCAATGTTTAACTTACAATAGTAACTACAAAACAGAAACCATATGATCACTTACACAGACATAAAAAGCATTCAAAAAAATTCAATGCCCATTCCTGATTTTTTAGAAAAAATCTCTTAGAAAACTAGGAACAGAAAGGAACCTAACCCGATTAAAAAAAAAATCTGCAAACCACTTACAACAAAAAATCAACTTACTGATGAAAGACGGAATGCCTTCCTCCTGAGATCAGAAATAAGACAAGACAAGCTCTCACCACTCCTATTAAACATTGTTCTGGAGTTCGTAGCCAGTAATAAAAGGAAAAAGATACATAAAAGGCATCCTGATTAGAAAGGAAGAAGCAAAACTGTATTTGTCTATGTAGAAAATCCAAAGAAATGCAAAAAAAAAAGCTACTAGTACGAATAAATGACTTTGGGCAAGATTGCAGGATACAAGATGTGTAGACCAGGGCAGATTATATTTTTGTATGTCAGAAACAATCAGAAATTACAACTTTTTAAAATATCATTTATAAAACATTAAAAATGTGAAACAGACATTTGACAAAAGATGCAGAAGACTAGTACACTCTAAACTATGAAACCTTGCTGAAAGAAGCTCTCAAAGACAAACAAGTAGAAAGATATACCTGGTTATTGGGTCAGAATAGTCCTTTTTTTTTTTTTTTTTTTTTTTGAGATGGAGTTTCACCCTTGTTGCCCAGTGGCACGATCTTGACTCACTGCAACCTCCGCCTCCTGGGGTCAAGCGATTCTCCTGCCTCAGCCTCCCGAAGAGCTGGGATTACAGGCACCCGCCACCACGTCTGGCTAATATTTTGTATTTTCAGTAGAGACAGGGTTTTGCAGGCTGGTCTCGAACTCCTGACCTCAGGTGATCCACCTGCCTCGGCCTCCCAAAGTGCTGGGATTACCGGCGTGAGCCACCGCGCTCGGCCAGAATAGTCAATATTTAACATGGCAATTCTCCTGGTTTGATCCCTATATGCAACACAATCTTAATAAAAATATCAGGGAGCATTTTTTTGTACAAATTAGCAAGCTAATTTTAAAATTCTAGCAAAGGAGCTAGAATTCACACACACACACACACTACTCACATATTATTAGGTGTGTGCAAAAGTAATTGGGGTTTTTGCCATTACTTTTGAGAGCAAAACTGCAATTACTTTTGTACCAACCTAATAGAATGGTTTCAGTGAAAAAGACTGACCATAACAAGTATTGGTGAGAATGTAGAGGAAATGGCACTCTCATGGTGGGTGCAGTTAAACACATGCTTACAATATGATCCAGCCGTTCCACTCTTAGGAAATTCCCAAGAGAAAAGGAAATATATATCCATGTAAAAACTTGTACCCAAATGTTCAGAGCAGCTTTGTTTGTAAAAGCCAAAAACTGGAAAAAATTCAAATGGCTAACAACAAATCATGATATAGCCATTCAATTGAATATTATTTAGCAATAAACAGGAATGAAATATTTATGCAAACAACAACATAATCTCAAAATAATTATGCTGAGTGAAAGAAGCCAGACAAAAAAGTACATATTCTATGATTCTAGCTAAAACACTAAGAAATGCAAACTAAATTATAGTAACACAAATGAGAACAGTGCTTTCTTATGGGAGGGTGGCATCCATGGGGGAGTGATGACAGTCAAGAGGACACCGTTGGGACAAAGGCTATGTTCACTATCTCAATTGTGGTAATGGTTTCGTGGATGTATACATCTGTGAAAGTTTATAAAACTGTACATTCTAAATAGATGCAGTTTACTGTCAATCAGCCATACTCCAATAAAAGCCGAGCAACAAATTAAAGCACAGAGGAACATGTTAAATGATACCACAAGAATGCAATCTACAAAATCCACACTGTGAGAGACTCTACAGACAAATGACCCAGTGTCTTCAACAAGTAAATTACAAGAAAAAAGAAAGAGAACCATGGAGAACTTTATGTTAAATAGACTTAAGAGATCTATCAACTAATGGCAATGATCCTGACTTGAATCTAATTCAGACATCCAATTAGAAACTTGACGCCAGGCACGTGGCTCACGCCTGTAATCCCAGCACTTTGGGAGGCTGAGGCGGACAGATCACTTGAGGCCAGGAGTTCAAGACCAGCCTGGCCAACATGGCAAAACCCTTTCTCTACTAAAAATACAAAAAAATAAGCCGGGCATGGTGGCATATACTTGTAGTCCCAGATATTCAGGAGGCTGAGGATCGCTTGAACCCAGGAGGCAGGAGTTGCAGTGAGCCAAGATTGTGCAACTGTACTCCAGCCTGGGCAATGCAGCAAGACTCTGTCTCAAAAACAAAAACAAAAAAACCTTGAACATTGGGTATTTTATGATATTAAGAAGGTATTTTTAATGTTTTAGGCATGACAATATTGTGGTTACTAGCTTTTAATCTTTTTTTTTTTTTTTTGAGATGGGGTCTCACTCTGTCACCCAGACTGGAGTACAGTGTGATCACTGCTCACTGCAGCTTTGACTTCCTAGACTCAGGCAATCCTCCCACCTCAGCCCCCTCCCAGTAGCTGGGACTACAGGTGCACGCCACCACGCCTAGGTAAATATTTGTATTTTTTGTAGTAGAGATGGGGTTTTGCCATGTTGCCCAGGCTAATCTCAAACTCCTGGAATCAAATGATCCACCCACCTGGGCCTACCAGAGTGCTAGGATTACAGGTGTGAGCCACCAAGCCTGGCCTTAAAAGAATCTTATTTAGAGATTTGCCTAAGATTTATTCACTCCCTCCACAAGAACTAATTTTTGCCCCCTTTGACACCCTCAACCCTGGTTGAGAACAAGTGCCTTATATTACATTGGTGCAAAAGTAGTTGTGGTTTTTGCCATTGACAGTAATGGCAAAACTCAGCCTCCCAAAGTGCTGGGATTACAGGCATGAGCCACTATGCCCGGCGGGCGTCAAGTTTCTAATTGGATGTCTGAATTAGATTCAAATCAGGATCATTACCATTAGTTGATAGATTGAAAGTAATGGCAAAAACCACAACTGCTTTTGCACCAACCTGATATTATTCTACTTTTGTATATGTCTCTAAGTTTTCATTAAAATTTAAAAAATATATTTTTTAAGAAAAAACAAGAGTGTAATCACTCATATAACAAATCACTGGTGAGGGAAAATCCCATTGACCTGGCTTTTCAGCTGACTGGAACCAGAATTCAAATAGCATCAAGACTAACTTGTCAGCTGAGAGGCTTGTGGTCGTATTTTAGACCATAGAGGGGATTTATGACTTCCGTATCAGGAGGAGCCAGAGATAGGATGGGCTTCAGGGAAGAAGTGGTCAACTAGCTAGACCCAGAATCTCTGCTTGTCTCTCTTCCTTAAGAATCATTCTCGGCTGGGTGCAGTGGCTCATGCCTGTAATCCCAGCACTTTGGGAGGCCAAAGCAGGCGGATCACCGGAGGTCAGGAATTCGAGACCAGCCTGGCCAATAGGGTGAAACTCTATCTCTACTAAAAATACAAAAATTAACCAGGCATGGTGGTGCGTGCCTGTAGTCCCAGCTACTCAGGAGGCTGAGGCAGAAGAATCACTTGAACCCCAAAGGCAGAGGCTGCAGTCAGTTGAGATTGCACCACTGCACTCCTGCCTGGGCGACAGAGCGAGACTCCGTCTCAAAAAAAAAAAAAAAAAAATCAATCTCAGGCCAGGCGAAGGTGGCTCACGCCTGTAATCACTTTGGGAGGCCAAGGCGAGTGGATCATGTGAGGTCAGGAGTTCGAGACCAGCCTGCCCAACATGGCAAAACCCCATCTCCACTAAAAATACAAAAATTAGCCAGGAGTGGTGGCAGGAGCCTGTAATCCCAGCTACTCGGGAGGCTGAGGCAGGAGAATAGCTTGAACCCAGGTGGCAGAGGTTGCAGTGAGCCAAGATCTCACCATTGCCCTACAGCCTGGGTGACAGAGTGAAACTCCATCTCAAAAAATACATACATACATACATTTAAAAAAAAAAAAAGGATCAAACTTATTCCAAGACTGGCTTGCCTGCTGGTCCCAAAATGGAAGCTCACAGGGTAGTTGCATGCTTCCTGGTTGGTTCTCATCCAACAGGAAAGAGACACTGCACTTCAGCATTCAGTACAAGTCTTTAATTCACTCTGATTGGACTAGCCTTGATAACTGCCCATCTTGGGCAGTTTCTGCAGTGGGGAAATGGAATGTGCTGAGTGCCCAGCCCAGGCCAAGTGGTCCACTCTGGGGTCACAGGGACAGGGAGAGTCAATGTTTCTAGGACTACATAGCTCTCTAAACAGAAATCAGGGCTTTTGGAAGGGAGAAAGAGAAACTGCCCATCTTTTCTTTACTTTATTGGCATATGTTTAATTTGTTCCAGTCAGTGTCTCCACAAGGTTAAGAATGTGTTTGCCAGATGATCTGGGAAGACCTACCATTACCTTTTGCTAGAGGGGTAAGTAAGGTTATGAGCTCCAATTTTAAATAAAAAATCTCAGAAAAGGATGTGATTGGCCTGGTTTGAGTCATGTGCTCATGCCTGGACCAATTACTATTGCTGTGGAGGTGGAATGCTATGATTGGCACAGCTAGGGTCAAATGCCCGCCCCCAGGCAGGGAGGCAGTGCTGGGGATGCAGCTCCTGTTTCCCTGAAGACAGAGGGTTGCTCTTAGGTGGACAAAACATTTGGAGTTCTCTCAATGGTTATCAAACAGGGTTATTACAAAAATGTACAATTAAGTTTTCTTTTCTCTTGGGCATCCATTGTGTCTTTAATCCTTGTTTTCTTTCCCAAGTCCCCATCCCACCCCACCTTCCAGCTCCGAATTTGCCAAGTGGAAGAGCAGGCCCTGGGAAGAAACAAAACAATAAAAACTACTGGATGATTTCTATTGAAGCAGGCTCTGACTCCCCCATGAACATCTTTCTCATCTCAAATAAATAAAATGCAGCGGGGGCTTGAACTAGCCACCATATCCCTGAGACACAGACTCCTCGCCTGTAAATGGAATTAGTAACAGAACCTACCTCACAGGGTAAATGTGATATGAAGTGGGTTGATGCACGTGAAATGCATTCCAAGCATACGGTAGATACTTAATAAATGGTAGCTATTATGTTCCAATCTATTCTACACTTTAAATAACCCAGTCAGAAGGAAATTTGACTAAAAACAAATTACCCAAGTACATTTCAAAATCTCCTCCATAGCCAAGAAAAGACCACATCACCTTCTTCCCAGGAAACCACCTGTGCCTTGGGTATCACCCACTATTGTCCCCACCTGCAACTCTGCACACCAGACTGACTCCCTTCCACCCTGTTTCTCGGAGATCTGAGGATCTGCACATTAACCTCCCACCACCTCCCTCCCCACCCACCAGTCATCTGTGCTGCCCACCCTGGCAAGCTGTCTCCCTAACACCTCACCTACTCACGGCTTCATTATTTTATTTCCCACCTTTCTCACTCAGAGAAAGGGGGAGGAGCAGAGATAATCCTACAAGCCAGAAGACAGTGGGAGCCGGCTGGACCTAGCTCCTGTCCCCTGGGGCCACGCCATCCACCCACAGCTCCTGCAAGCCTACCCACTGGCCTTCTGGTACTCCCTTCTCCCTCCCCTCACCTCCCTGACCACCCCAACCTGAGCAACCAGTACTTTTTATCCATTGCCTCTTCCCTAATCCCTCTTCTCCACTTTCCATGAAAGCCCACAAAGCCAGGCCAAGTTCCAGACCTCCAGGTCTACAGCTCTGGCAAAAAGCCCAATTCTCCTGTCTGGATGGATGCATGAGGTAGAAGGCACACTCCTTTATCTGAAGGGGTTGGGTGTGGGAAGGGGGCATTAGGAAAACAACTCATGGAGATCTCTGACTCTCCACAAACTCCTGGGCTCATTAGCCCCGTAGGCCTTGATATATTACTCTCTGAGCCCACCTTTATTGACCTCTCCCAAAAAAAAATATAGTGATGCCAACCCTTCATGTGGTTCTGTCTCCCCTGTGGGAACTACAAGTATAATGGGGACATGGGTTCAATCCTGGCTCTGCCGTTATAGACTGTGTGACCTTGAACAAGTCTCTTCACCTCTCTGAGGTTCTGTCCCCTTATCTGTAAAATGGGAATGACATGACACCCACCTCGCAGGCTTACTTTGAAAAGCAGAGCAATCACAGGACAATGGGAACACACTTTGTCAAGCTGTCGGTTGTTGTTACAGAGGAAAGTTCCTTCTAATGTGGGTTTTGAAGGAAAAATAATATATTAAAAAGGTAACACTTCTACTTCTAGCAAGATGGTGTCACAGGGTATGGATTTACTCTTACCTGACACAACCAAAAAGCCAGAAAAAAAAATACACGAGACAACAGTTTTCAGGCCAGTGGTCATCAGGCAACAAATGACAATAATCCCTGTGAGACAGAAAACAAACAAAGTGAGCCTACAGCTGCACTGCCTCGCTGCCTGGAGTGTCCAGGCTGTAGGGCAGGGAGGGAGAGAAGCAAGGCAGAGGTCTGCAAAATTTGAGTTGGGAGACAGAAGTCTGTAGATACTTAGGTGTCTGCAGTGTGCAGGGCAGATTCTAAAGAGTATACAGCTACACAGAGAACTCTGGAGCTACCTGATGAGTCCCCCAGAGTATGTAGCAAAGCACTGAGCAGTACATGCACTATCCAAGGCCAGGGGAAAAAAACATTCAAGGGCATCTGAGGGAACAGCTTCAGGTTCTGAGGGCCAGGAATAGCGCCCGTTCCTACCAGCCAGATTGTAAAGCCCCAAGCTCCACAGGGCATTCAGTAGAGTACTCAGAGGCTTGCCTTCATAGTGAGGGATAACCAGCCCAACACCACATACAGCTATGGTCTTGTACAACTCATCTTCAAAGCAAGACAAAAAAATAAACTGTTTTCAAATGATTTAACTGCTTTTTAAAACAAAGCTCAGGAACATTTTTAGGAATACTAAAATAGCTAGCAACACAAGGTAAAATTCACAATGCATGACATCCAATAAGAGACTAATAGGCATAAAAAAGAGCAGGAAAACATAACCCATAATAAGGCAAAAAATCAATCATAACCAATCTAGAACTAACATGAATATCAGAACGAGCAAAGAAGGACATTATGTTACTATATTTTAGCATATTGTATTATATTATAATATTTTGAAAATATTCCATATTTTTAAAAAGTTAACCAGACACATGGAAGGTATATTTTTATAGACCGAAATTGAATTTTTAGAGATGAAAACTGCAATGTTTGAAATGGAAAATATACTATATGGGATTAACAGCAGATTAGTCATTGCAGGAGAAAATATTAGTGAACTTAAAGACACAGCAATAGAAACTATCCAAAATAAATCACACAAAGGAAAAATGGCTTAAAAAATGAAAGGAATGCCAGTAAACCATGGAACAACTTCAAACAACCTAATATACATGCAACTGAAGTTCCTGAAGAAAAGAATACACAGAAAAATATTTGAAGAAATAACATCCTAAATTTTCTAGATTTGATGAAAACCACAAACCCACAGATCCAAGAAGCTCAATAAACTCCAAGAACAAGAAACATCAATAAAACTACACCAAGACACATCATAATAAAATTGTTCAAAATCAGTAATAAAGAAAATCTTAAAATAGAGGGGAAAATGTCACATATAGAGGGATAAAGATGAAGATAACACAAATTTTTCATCAGAAACAATGCAAGCAAGAAGACAAACAATGTAGCAATATATTTAAAGTATTAAAAAAGACAACCGTAAACCTGGAGATATACCTTGTTATTGGTTAAGAATTATCACAAGATAGAGAACCCAGAAATAAATCCACGTATTTACAGCCAACTGATTTTTGACAAAGATGCCAAGAAAATACACTGAGGAAAGGACACCCTATTCAATAACTGGTGCTGGGAAAATTAGATATCCATATGCAGAAGAATGAAACTGGACCCCATCTCTCACCATATACAAAAATCAGCTCAAGATGGATTAAAGATTTAAACATAAGACCTAAAACTATAAAACTACTAGAAGAAAACATACAGGGGAAACACTTCAGGATACTGGTCTAGACAGAGATTTTTGTGGCTAAGACCTCAAAAGCACAGGCAACAAAAATAAAAATAGACAAGTGGGACTATATTAAACTAAAAAGCTTCTGCACAGAAAACAACCGACAAAGTGAAAAGACAACCCACAGAATGGGATTAAAATATATGCAAACTGTCCATCTGACAAGAGATGAATATCCAGAATGTACAAGGAACTCAAACAACTCAACAGTAAAAAAATAAAAAGTCCCATTAACAAGTGGACAAAGGACATGAACAGACATTTACAAATGGTCAACAGGTATATTAAAGAACACTCAGCATCACTAATCATTAGGGAAATGCAAATCAAAATCACAATGAGATATTCTCCTAGCCCAGTCAGAATGGCTATTACTAAATGACAAAAAGTAACAGATGACAGTGAGGATGTAGAGAAAAGGGAACTTTTATACAGTTGGTGGGTACACAAAATAGAGCAGCCACTATGGAAAAGTGTATGGGGATTTCTCAAAAAACTAAAAACAGAAATGCCATACAGTCTAGCAATCTCACTACTGGGTATTTATCCAAAGGAAAAGAAATCAGTGTATCAAAAGGATACCTGAACTCCACGCTTAGTGAAGCACTATTTACAATAGCAAAGATATAGAATCAACCTAAGTATCCATCAGTGGACAAATGAATAAAGAAAATGTGGTATATATGCACAGTGGAATACTATTTGGTCAAAAAAATGAAATCATATCATTTGCAGCAACATGGATAGAACTGCAGGTCATTATGTTAAGTAAAATAAGCCAGGCACAGAAAGACAAATATCCCATATTCTCATTCAAATGTAAGAGCTAAAAAAGTTAATCTCGTGGAGGTAGAGAACAGAATGATAGACACTAGAGACTTGGATGGGTAAGTGTGGTGCAGGGGGATAAAGAGAGGTTGGTTAATGGTTACAAACATATAGTTTTATAGAAGGAAGAAGTTCTAATGTTTTATAGCAGAGTAGGGTGACTACAGTTACCAATGTGTTTTATATTTCAAAATAGCTTGAAGAGAGGACTTGAAATGTTCCCAAGATATAGATATGATAAATACTTGAGGGGATGGATACCCCAAACACCCTCGTTTGATCATTAAACAGTCTATGCATATAACAAAATGAAACAGGAAATTTTCCCTAAACCCTCTGCAGGCCTCATGACAAGGGTGCTCACTTAGCCTGCAGCTCTCAACCCCTCATGGGAGGGGCAGCACGCAGGTGATGAGGTACAGGAGCCGAGCCAAGGTGAGTGCTTCTGGGTGCCAGCAGGAGCAAAACACCGTGCAGGCCCAAGGCAGCATCAAGTGGGGAGTACTCGTGATCCCTGAAGCTCCAGAGGGCGTGTGTTACAGTGTGCTCTTTTAGCTTTGCCATCCACAGACAGCTTAAGTGTTAAACAGCTCAGTGGGCCCTCTGCCTTTTCACGTGAGGTGGTTGCTCTCCACCAGTGAGGGCAGAGGGTCAGTGTGACAGCCTTTAGTGTTCACACCCGTAGCTCCTGAGCTGTTATTCAGCATCCAGGAATAATCAGGTTGCACGAACAAATTGAAGGGTGGTGAATATGGAGGATTTTATTGCCAATGGAAGTGGCTCTCAGTGGGAAGGAGAGCTAGAAAGGGGATGGAGCAGGAAGGTGTTTTTCTCCAAAGTCCCACCATCAAGCCATTCCTCTGAAGTCAAACTGCTTCTCTCTGATGTTCAGCTGCTTCTTCTCTTCTCCCTTTCTCTGCCCTCTGCCAGTGAAGCCTGGGGTTTTTATGAATAGGGGATGGGGGTGCAGGGTGGGCCAGGGGTGGTTTTGGAAAAGGCAACATTCAAGCAGGAAAACGGGGATGTAAAGTTCTCACTTTGGGTCAGGCTTGAGGGTGGGGCCCTTGCCAGGGACCCTGCCCTTTTCTGCCTGGAATTTCTCTGCCTCCTGGCCCTATCAAAAATATCACATGAACCCCATAAATATGTACAAATACTATAAATCAATTTTTAAAAGAAGAGTCAATATTATTAACATATCAATTCTCCCCAAATTGTTGCATATATTCAACATAACCCCAGTTAAAGTATCAGGAAGCTGTTCTTACAAATTGACAAGCTAATTATAAAGGTCATAGGGAGATGCAAAGAAGCTAGAACTCACACACACACACACACACACACACACACACACACACACACACGTACACACACACCCCTCTGAAAAAACAAAGTTGAAGGGTTAGGACTACCAGATTTCAAGAATCATAAAGTTACATTAATCAAGGCAGCATGGTATCGGCATCAAAATAGCCACACAGATCAGTGAAACAGAAGGAAGCGTCAACAAATAAACCCATACATATTTGAATTTTTGACAAAACTGCAAAGGAAATGCAGTAGACAAAAGGCAGCCTTCTTAACAAATGGTGTTAGGACAACCGGATATCCATATGCACAAAGACAAACTTGGATACATACTTGTAATCATCTATAAAAAATTAACTAAAAAATGGATCATAGACCTAAATGTAAAGCCTAAAACTATAAAATTTCTAGAAGAAAACACAGAAAAAAATATTTGGCCTTGAATATCATATCAAAGATTTTTTTATATCTGACACCAAAAGCATGATCCATAAAAGAACAAAGTTCTTGTACATGAGTTCCTTATGTATTCTGGATCTCAATAAATAAATTGGACTTCATCAAAATTACATACTTCTGCACTTTGAAAGACACTTTAAAAAATAAAATGACAAGCCACAGACAGGGAGAAAATATTCGTGAAGAATATATCTGATTAAACATTTATATTCAGAATAAACAAAGAACTTTCAAAACTCAACAATAAGAAAACAAGCAAGCTAATTTGAAAAAACGGTCAAAATATTTTAATAGGCATTTCACCAAAGAAGACATACAGATGGCAAATAAGCACATGAAGAAATGCTCTACAATGTAAGTCATTAGAAAAATGCAAATTAAAACCACAGTGAGATACCATTACATGCCCATTAGGATGGCTTCAATAAAAAGACTGGCTATAACAAGTGTTGGCGAAGGTGTGGGGGAAATGGCACTCTCGTGGTGGTAAAGTTAAACATACACTTACCATATGATGCAGCCATCACACTCCTAGGAGTCTGCCCAGGAGAAGAGGAAATATATATCCGTACAAAGACTTGTACACAAATGTTCACAGAAGCTGTTTGTAACCGCCCCATATTGGAAACAAATGGCCACCAACAGCTAAATGGATAAACAAATTGTGATATATCCATTCAATGGAATACTCTGCGGAAATAAAAATGAACTATTTTTGCAAAAAACAAAATGGATGAATCTCAAAATAATTATGCTGACTAAATGGAGCAAGACAGAAGAGTACATGCTGAGTCAGAGAAATTAGGCAAGAAAAAGAAGTAAAAGGCATCCAAATCTGAAAGGAAGATGTCAAATTACCCTTGTTTGCAAAGGACATGATCTTATACCTAGAAAAAAATTTAAAGATTCCACCAAAAATACACTATGGAGTATTATTCAGCCATAAAAAAGAATGAAATCCTATCATTTGCAGCAACATAAATGAAATTAGAGGTCATTATGTTAAGTGAAATAAGCCAAGCATAAACAGATAAATATTGCATGTTCTCACTCATATGCAGGAGCTAAAAAGGTGGATCTCATGAAGATAGAGAGTAGACTGGTTGTTACCAGAGGCTGGGAAGGGGAAGGAAGAGAGGTGATGATGGGAGAAAATATACATATAAATGTATTTATTTTATTTTTATAATTTAAAAAAAATTTTTTTGAGATGGAGCCTCGGTCTGTTACCCAGGCTGGAGTGCGGTAGCGCAATCTTGCCTCACTGCAACCTCCACTTCCTGGGTTCAAGCGATTCTCCTGCCTCAGCCTCTTGAGTAGCTGGGACTACAGGCATGCTCCACCATGCCGCCTGGCTAATTTTTGTATTTTTAATAGAGACAGGGTTTCACCGTGTTGGCCAGGCTGGTCTCGAACTCCTGATCTCAGGTGGTCTGCCCCCCTCGGCCTCCCAAAGTGCTGGGATTACAGGCATGAGCCATCGTGCCCGACCTTATAAATCTATTTATTACCACTGAACTAGACACTTTAAAATGGTAAAGATGGTAAATTAAATATATAATTTACCTCAATTTTTTAAGTAATAATTTTAAAAAGAGTACATGCTGTATGATTCCATTTATACGAAACTCTAGACAAACTAACCACAGTAACGCAAAGCAGATCAGCAGTTGTCTATTGCAGGGAGAGGTGCAGGCACAGAGAGGAATGACAAGGAGATATGAGGAACTGTCTGTAAGTGACAGGTGTATTCACTACCCTGACTGCAGTGATGGGTTTCATGAGAGAATATGTATGTCAAAACTTATCAAACTATCGTATGCTTATCACACACTTTCAACATGTGTAATTTATTGCATGTCAATATGTAAATCAAAAAAGGCATTTAAAAACATAACACAGGAGTAAAGCAGGCACTGCTCCACCCAGTACAATCTACTTCTGGTTTGAAATTATCTTACACTTACAGAAGTGTTGCAAAGACAACACACATTATTTCCAAACACCCTTCCCTCAGATCCCCCTAATGCCAACAGTGTACATAACCACAGTACAATTAGCAAAATTCACACACTCCTCGCTCTCCTCCCTCTCTGGGACAGCCTGCTGCAGTCCAGAAGGTCCATGCCTTTAATAAGAAGGTCCATGCCAGGCCTCCACTCCGGCTTTGCCTCTGCTGCTCTGCGCGCAGTCAGCACTCTCCACACTCCAGATGTCTCACTGGCTCCCCCCAGCCCCATCTCTCACAAGCTCCAGATCCTATAATTAACTGCATCCTCAACGTCTCCCCAGCTATCCCACAGACACCTCGAATGCAGCTCGTCTAAAACTGAATGCATTACTGTTGCAGCATCCCCCACAACCCTTTCTCCTGTGGTCTTTAGCTAAGCAAATGGCATTGTCATCTATACCCCCTCCCTCCACCCCTCCGGCCCCAGTCAGACATCTCTGACATCACCATTCAAGTTCTACTTTCTCCACATGTCGCTCAAACCCCACCCTGCAGGCCCCATCTCTGCTATGGACACCTTGATTCAGGCAGGATGTCAACTGTCCTAAGGCTGTCAGAACAGGCTCTAAACACTCCTCACACTTGAGTCCCTCTGCCTCTAATCCTACTGCCTGGAGTGGTCTCTCTGAAATGCTCACCTATGTCACTTCCTGCTGAAAATCTTACAGTGCCTCCCAAACGCGCATAGGGTGGCATTCTGGCTCTGGGATTCAAGGTCCTCTCCAAATAGGCTTTGACAACCCCTCTTGACTATAACTGGCCAGTTTGCTCCTTGAAGGAGTCATCAAATGACACGAAACTCCTCTTCCTCCTACACCCACCGGACAGCCTCACGCCCCTGCTCCTGTTGTTCCCTCAGCCTAGGTTCTTCCCCATCTTCCCCACTGGGAAACTCCTATCCAGATGCAGCACTATTTCAACCCTTAGAATGAAGCCTTCACAGAAATACGAGGCAGAATTGCAAGTCCTTTCTTGTGTACGAGAGCCTTTTATACATCCTTTGAGGCAGGTTTCTGTGTCTGTCTGCACTGGATGTAAAAGCCTAAACAGCAAAGATTGTTTCTTACTTATCTCCATCCCAGCACAGCCTAGGACTTGGGCCTTATAGACACACTGATGGCTGGATGAATGGATAAAGAGATAAACAGATGTACTCATGGATGGATGGAGAGAGGAGACAAATGGAAAAATGAGTAGATAAAGGACGAATGGGGGGATGGATGGGTAGTGAGATGAACAGATAAGACAAACACCAGATCAGTGATTGCATGGACAGAAACATGAACGTACAAAGGGATGGATGAATGAATGGAAAGTTCCTAGGCATTTCAAGGGCAGAGATTATTTCTTATTCAACTCTGTTTTTATAGGGCCTAGAAGAGGGCCTGGAATATACTAGTAGATGTTCAATATGTGCTACTGGAGGGAAGCGCCAGGTTTTTGTGGGAAAAGTTTTGGACTAACAGTTGGAAGACCTGATTTCCAGCTCTATCTGTATCCTCAATAGTTCATATAAACATGAGCGACCTAACCTCCAATTTTCCATTTACTCTTCTGTAAAGTGGGTAGGTTGAATTAAACGACTTTTAGGTATTTTCCAAATACACTGGCTCCCTGATTTGAAGCTGCCCAAATCTAAGATAAGGCTACAGAATGGGACGAGGGCCACATTTGAGCAAATGTGTGTTTACTTACAACTTGTCCTAATGCAGAGCTGATCCCAGATCTCTGCCAGCAATGGGGGAGAAGAGCAAACACACTCCAAATGAGATTCTGTTCCAACTGTCTGGCTGACAGCCTTGTGGTGGGAATGAGAGACAGGCTGATAAAAGAGCCTGGGGGGTAATTAATAGTGAAACATGAACCTCCGTGAGGCTGTACCCACCCCTCGCTGAATGGAAGGAGGGAAGGGCCGGGCTGCACAAAGCCTTCCCAGGGCCCTTGGCTGCTGGCCAAATGTACCCTTTATCCAGAAAGATGGGCTTTTGTTCACAGAGTATGGGGTCTGTCCCGTTAGATTCACACCTGGACTCCTGGCATGCTGTGGAGTAGCAATTGTACTATGAACACAGCTATCACCACTCCCAGAACAAAGTGTGCCAGGCTGTCTACATGTCCCCTTGACACTTCCAACAACCCTGGGAGGCAGGAAAGGTGATTATCATGAAGGAACATGTAGCTTGTAAGTGGGAGGTTCAGGCTTTGAACCCAGGACAGCCTGACTCTTTGTGCTACGACCGGCTGCTTTCTGCAGACAGCTGCCCTGGAACTGGTCGGATAACATGCCAGAGACATCATAGTTCATGCCACCCCAAACTGCAGTGCCGCCTGCCTGAGCCTGCCTGGACTCTTTGCAAGGTGCTTTCACGTTGATTCAAGTTGGCAGTGTGGGCCATCACTCCTATTGTGCAGATGGGACACTGAGACTCAGGCTGACAGGTGAAGTGACCCAGCCACAGTCACACAACTTGTAAATGGTGGAGCTGGGATTCCATCCCTGGGAACTGGAGTCCCAAGCCAGGTGCTTAATGGGTGAATTATTCTGTTCCATGGTGGTAGCTGTAGTGGACATCTGTGGGTTTTGCCTGGTGACAGCATCTGAATTTTCTTTGTGAAATAACAGTTCCCTCCCCCCACCACCCACCTCAGCTCATGTGATTTGGGCAAAACTAATATGCCCTGTATCTCTGTACTCCTCGCAGGGGTGGGCAGGCAATCCCTGCAGCCATGGTGGATGCATATGACTGACAGTGTCCTGTGATATTCAATTCCACAACTCCAGAGGAAACTACTGATCAAGAGGCATCCTCCTTCTGCTGGGGTTCCCTGAGCTGGTGACTTGGAAGCCAGGAGCTGCCGGAGGCCACCTGTGACACTGCAAAGGGACAATCTGCCAAAGAGTGAAGCCAACACAGAGAAAAGCAGGGGAAAGAGGCAAGCAGTTTCCTAAAGACATATTTTGAGACCCCCGAATCCAGCCACACTTGAATATATTCCAGGTAAATGAGCCAGTGTGAATTTCCTTTCTGCTTAAACCAGTCTGACTCGGGTGCCTCTCACCCACATCTGAAAGGCTCCAAGTCAATACTGCCCCTCATCACACTGAATAACCATCACTTGTTTCCTTGGCTGTTGTCCCATTAGACCCAGGGCACTTGAGGGCAGGGCCTAGTTCAAAGCCATCACGATGTCTCAGTGCCTGATTCCAACCATCCTGGATGAATATTTGCTGAATGAATAAAAACCCAATCTGACTCAATGTTCATTTGTGAACTTATTGGTATATGAGGCCCAAGAGAAGCCTGAATTCTCTAGTCCAACCCACTCTTCCCCTCCTCCTTCCACCTTTCAAGGCCTAATTCCAAAGCCACCTCCTCTGAAGCTGGCCCATGGCCTGCACCCCAGTCCAAAAGTGCTTTCGCCCACATCAGGACCTCCATGGTATGTTTCTGCCTTTTACAGTAATTCACACACATGCCTGGCCTCTCCAACCAGACTGAGAAGTCCTGAGGAAAGGGTCTAACATTGATTCATTTTTATATCAAGCTAGCTCCTGGCACCCGCCAACTCAAAAAAAAAAAAAAAAATCTGAATCCAAAGGATCATTTTATTCAATATTCACCAACCCCTAATATAAGTCAGGCACTGAGAATATATGGGTGAATACAGCATAATGATTAAGAATAATGATGATGATGACAATAGCTACCATCTACTGAGGTATTACTTAGTGCCCAGCACTAATCTAAGCACTTTACATATATTAACTCATTTAACCCTCAGAGAAAACCAATGAGGTGGCTACCATTATGCCCCATTTTACAAATGAAAAAACTAAGGCTCAGACATCAAAGAATTTGCCCAAGGTTGCAAAGATGGTAAGTGGCAGAGCCAGGACTTGAACCCAGGCAATCTGGCTCTGAATCCCTGCTCTTAACTGAATCTTATGCTATAGGATCATGAATACTAAACAGACTGCTTTGTAAAAACCATGGCCTTCTCCTGTCTAATGCCTAATGTCTTTTGGAAAGAGCTGGGCTAAAAATGGAATCGACCATGCCCAGTGATTCTGGAGCTTGGACAGCAGGCAGGTTTTTAGCAAACTGGAGTCAGACACACTGGTCTGAATTTCTAATAGCACCATTCTTTGGCCCAATGTGTGTTACTGGGACCTCCCTGAGCCTCAGTTTCTGCAGGATTAATAATCTCACGGGCAGTTACCGGGCTTAGAAGAGTTAACACATGAAAATCACTTAGCATAGTACCTGGCTCCTACCACACAATCAGTGAGCGGACGCTGCTGTCACTAGTACCTTTTATTATTATTATGGAATAAAGCAAATGTACAGGGCTTGGGACAAGGTATACTGTCCAATATTATAAATGTGCTTCTGGTTTTTTTTTTTTTTTTTTCTTTCTTTCTATAACCTTGAAAGAATACCTGCCCTTCTCTAAAATGATTCAACTAGGGCTGCTTACCAGGCCCACAGAAAGCCCTGCTGCCAGCCGGCCTTCAAAATGGCTTAAGGATTTGGAGTTCTCTTCATTTCTCCACTCACAGGATCAAAGGGTGCGGGCGAGGACTGGGAAGCGGGGGAGGAAATGCAAGATGGAACAGGCCCCAAGTTTTTAACTGGCATAAGAGCAACTGTGGTTCATCCTAGGCTCAGCTGAGCTGCAGGGAGCAGGCCCCCATGATCTGTACAGCCTGTGCCCTTGAGAAATAAACACAACTGCCAGAAAGCAGCACGCTTCAGCTACTGCTAATCCCAGGCTACAAGACAAGCAGGAAATCAGAGGTGCCCTGTGATGTGTTTTCCAAAAAGCGTCAGCAAGTACACAGAGCAAGGAGGAGGGGACAGTCCAATGCAAATACACAATTGGGTTTCAGAACAGGGAATAAAGGCTGAACGCACAGACCAGCCCCAACCGAGGGCACACAATGCTCCATCCTCAGCCTTGACTCCACTGCCCTCTAGAGGACACACAGGCACCAGCCGACAGGTTTTCAGCAAGTTCCCGCTGTGGAAGGAAGCAGCGTGTTCTCCTATGAGGGAGGATCATAGGCTTTGAGCCACTGAGAAAACAGATGCCCTCCATCCCTCAGCCACGAGCCTCGTTCAGCCTCTCTTTCATCTCTCCCTTGGACTTCAGCAACAGCCTCCTCACTGGTATTAATAAAATAATAAAACGATCCTCTATTAAATGCTGACCACAGGCACTGTGCTGAGGGATTATACACGTTAAATCATGGGATTCTTACAACATCCTAGGAAGCAGGTAGCATTCCAATTTACAGATGAGGAAACTAAGGCTCACACAGGTTAGAGGAACGGGCCAAGGCCACATAGCTAGCTACAAGTAGAAGATCTAAAGTTTAAACCCAGCAAGGGTTTAAACCCTGGGCAAGGGCCCTGTATCTATCTGACTAACCACTTTACCAACATTAGCGGCAGCAGCAACAGCGACCCCTGAGAATGTTAGAAAATCAAACTCTCGGCTGGGCTCACACCTGTAATCCCAGCACTTTGGGAGGCCGAGGTGGGCAGATCACGAGGCCAGGAGTATGAGACCAGCCTGGCCAACATGGTGAAACCCCATCTCTACTAAAAATACAAAAAGAAAAAATAAAAATTAGCCGGACATGGTGGCAGGCACCTGTAATCCCAGCTACTGGGGAGGCTGAAGCAGGAGAATTGCTTGAACCCAGGAAGGCTGAGGTTGCAGTGAACCGAGATCGCACCATTGCACTCCTGACTAAGCAACAAGAGCAAGACTCCGTCTCAAAAAACAAACAAACAAAAATAAAACTCTCAGAGTGGGATCTAGCAACACGTGCTTTAACAGCTCCTCCAGATACTTAGATGCACCCTAGCTTGAGAAGCTCTGCACTAGACGGAGTTGCTTCAAGAAACTCTCTCCCTCAATCATGACATTTCCACACTGCCCCAGGTGGTCTTCCTAAAACACAACTCAAACTCTTTAAAGGCCTTAGAACTCCACTGGCAGGCCCCGGTCCTAACTCAGCACAGCAGTCAGGCCCTCCACAGCCCCTTAAATCCATGAGAAGCAGGACTTGGAGAGAGAACCCGATCGAGCATCTCCTCTATCGTGTACAAGCTCTGCCCTAGTCCTGAGCCTACAGGAGGGTACTTAGTCCTTGTCGGTGAGAAAATCCTTCTGCCCAGAATAGAGAGACTGAAACTGGGACAGGTGACAAGATGTACTCATGTTCATGCAGCCAGCAAGCGCCAAGGCCAAGATCAGCGCGTGGGACCATTTGACCCCACAGCCCAAGTGCTTCCAAGGCAAATAGGGCCAAACTGGTTAGGAAGCTGGGCCAGGGGCCCATGGCTGTGGGCTCTGACATCCAAACAGGCACAGGCTTCCCACCCCAGGTTCTGGTCTTTAACAAAGTGACCCAGCCAATATCCAGCTGATTTCATCCAAAGAGCCTTCATGGGTAAATCCCAGTCTTGACCTCCTCCTCTGTGACCCTAATAATAGTGGGATAGGAGCTGGGAGAGGCCAAAGCCCTGAAAGGATCCTCAAGAAACCACATCCTGCTGGGCGCGTGGCTCACGCCTGTAATCCCAGCACGTGGGAGGCCAAGGCAGGCAGATCATCTGAGGTCAGGAGTTTGAGACCAGCCTGGCCAACATGCTGAAACCTCATCTCTACTAAAAAATACACAAATTAGCTGGGTGTATTGGCACACACCTGTGGTCCCAGCTACTCGGGAGGCTGAGGCAGGAGAATCGCTTGAACCCGGGAGGTGGAGGTTGCAGTGAGCCAAGATCACGCCACTGCACTCCAGCCTGGGTGAGACTCAGTCTCGAAAAAAGAAAAAAAAAAAAAAAGAAAAGAAACCACACCCAGAAAAGACATGCGTTAGACCATGACAGACAAGGTAGAAGAGTCCAAATATGTCAGTCAACACTCTCCTCAGTGCAAGACTGTTCAAGGAGTCCATCCTCACCCTGCCTGCCCCGCTGCCCTGCTCCTTGTCCACACCAGACCAGGATGGTGCATGTCTCCACGCCTTTGCAGACACCAGCCCCTCTGCCTCAAACCTTCTCCAAGAGCTGCCCAGCAGATTCCTACCCACCCTTCTAAGACAAACCCCAGTGCCTTCTTCAGGAAGCCTTCTCCCTCCACTCCCAGGCACTGTTGTGCCATTTCTGTGACAACACTCACCTTTCCACAGATCAGAGAAGCACCAGGGCCTAGGATGGTGATTCTCCATCCTGTTAGAATCCCCTGGGGAGCTTGCTTGGCATGGAGAATGAACATCAGGTGGTTCCAGTATATAGCCAGGATCAAGAAAAATTGACCTCCTGGAAGACCTGGGCTTTGAAGCTGCACACAAATGTATAGATCCTGCTTCTCTGCCTCACAGCTGAGTCACTGGAGCAAGGAAACACAACCTGCTTCCCACCCTGTGAACTGGGGATTACAGCACCTACCACGCTGAGATCCCACCTTCTTGCCTCCTCCCCTCCCACATCCCCACCAAGCAAGGACTAACCGCCTGCTTGTCATTCTGCCCAGATTGGTAACTCCTTTCTCGTGCATTCGTTTACTTAATGGCTATTTATTGAACACCTGCTGAGTACTACCAGGCACGGTGCTGGAGATGTGGGGTACGGCAATGAACATGTCAGGCAAAATTGCTAGAACATCTGGCAGTTTACCTGGGGAGACAGCCACAAAGGAAGCAAACAGGAGTAGCTTCCCATGATAAGCACGCTGAATAAAATTAAAGTCGGTGGGAAGAGATCCAGCAATGGGGCAAAGGGAGGCTACATTAACATTCAGGTTAGAGAGGACTGCTTCTAAATTAAGACCTAAATGCTGAGAAAGCAGCCTGGGAAGATCAGATCTGAGGAAGGTGGAGTGAGAGCCAATGGAGTGTTCTAGGCAAGGGAGAGGTGGGATCTGTCTTGCTTTTTAATGAAACCACTCACATGAATTGTCACCATCTGCACACCAGGCTGTGGGACCTTCACCTCTGTACCCTCAGTGTTCCAGTCAGGCCTGGCACAGGAGAGGGGTTGAGTGACTGGCTGAATAAATGAACCCTCTTCCCCTGAATGTGTTGTTTCCAGGTCTCCAAGCTAAAGCTTCTCTGTCCCCTGGCTTCTGCCCATCAGCAGTGTGACATCTTTCCCACAAAGAACCAGGTGAATCCCATGTTGATGGTCAAACTCCTAAGACCCTAAGCCTTTACATCTGTGTTACTGTTAAGCCACATCTAGACTAGGCTAAACTTAAACAGCTGGGATGAAAGGAACATGGGCTTCAAACTCATATACAGACCGTTTGACCCTGGACAAGTTCTCTAACCTCCTTGAACCAGTTTTTACCCGTACAGTAGGTCCAAGGTACAGTGGTCTGGTTTATCCCTCTCCCTTGTACAGTCCTAGCCAGATGAGTTCAATTTGTGGTCAACCCAACAGAGCGTGAGAGGGCCTCCTATGTGTTGAGCAAAGCACTTTGGCCGTCATTTTGGAGGAGACACAGCCCATCATAAACGTTCAATAAACAATCACAGGCCTGATCACCCTCAACCTGAACTCAACCGTGATACTTCAGGAGAGCAGCTATTCTCGAAGCTGACTGTAATCCCCCTTGGGGGTACAGTTGATGACCAGCTACAAATCAACCTGTGCCAGCCCAGATTTCCTTTGGTCCTCAAGGACATCCCGAGATGACTGGACAGATTCCTTGCTGCATCTGCACCATTCCCTGACCTGTATTCCAGTAACCTTATCAGGAAGGTAACAGGAAATGTAAATTTATCAACTTGTTCTTGGTAGATCTATGGTGCCCCAGTGGTCCCTGACAGCGGGCAAGTTGTACCCGGTGACTCTGTCACTGACGCTGCTGGTCAGGTGGGCATGTTTTCACAAGCAGGTCTGCTTCTTGTAAGTCGTAAAAGAGTGAAATGCTAGATGTCTTAAAATTGAACGACTTATGCCTCTTGCCGGATGTCTTAAAATTCAACAACTTATGGCTCTGCATCACTAACCATCCCAAACATGTAAACTGTTAGTAAATCTGTATAAATATTGGCTGAATAGTTTCCAGTTTAGTGTTCCTGAAAGTTAAATGGCCTTAGCTCTACAAATGGGTGATAAAAAATAATTGTCAAATATTCATTTTCTCCAAATCCCATCCTCTTTTCAAGGCTACAGTATCTTCTTTACAACGCTATATCCCTCCCTTTTAGACAATGTGATGAGCCCAGGGGACACTGAAAACCCCTTCCTAAGGTAGGGAGGTTATACAGCACACACGTATGGTATTAGCACCTAGGTAACAAGAGCTGCTGTTTCCTGCACGCCCACAGTGTGCCAGGCATTTACACACAGCAACTCATTGAACCCTCCTAAGTCACATTACCATCAGGCACATCTTAAAGACAAGCAAAATCATGGAGGTGAAGTAATTTGGCTAAAGTCTCCCTGTTAGCAATGGCAGGAAAGGATCTGAACCCAGGTATATCCGTCTCTTACCTACTCACCCAGCCACACTACCAGCCAGTCCAAACTGAAACCACTCAGAACCAGACACCCCTCCCTCCCTCTTCCCTCCAGCGACATCTCCTACTGCCCCTGACCATCTTCACGTCCAGGACACTGACGGCCACACCTTGGCTTGGCTCCAAGCTGCAGCAACGCCCCCCCACCTGTCCCCTGTCCTGCACTCACCTCTGCTCTACCCAAGGCCTGCACTGAGGCCACCCCCTCCCCATACGACCCTTTCCCAGCAGCCTCAGTTAACAGGAGCTTTGCCCCCCTCCTCCTTCACCCGCTGCTGTGCAGTCTGAGTTATGCTCCACTTGTTCACACACACACACACTTATCCATCATGAGCCCAAACTGACTGCAAACGGAAAGCAGATCTCATATTTCTCCTCTGAACCTCCCACTGCGCCCGGGGTGTGATGGATCCATATCCTCCCTTCACAGCACTCACTCTGGAATGATGAACGTTGCTCGCTTGGTGGCGGCACTGGAGCTGAGAAGGATGACAGACCAGTGACAGGTCTCCATGCTCTCGCTAGGAGCTCCTCCACCTCAAGCAAGGGGAAGGCTTATTAAGCACCTCCCTTGTGCCAGGTGCTGTGCTAGACACCGTACAGGCTGTATCTTGTTTAATCTTCCTAACGACCCAAGAAGGGGATTCATTGTCTCCACTTAATGGATGAGCAAAGTGGGTTCAGATAAACCACTGCTGGAGCCAGCTTCAAATCTGATTCTGCCCAAGTTATGAAGCCAGTGTTATCTCCACCGCACCACAGCGTCAGAGAGAGAAAAGAACGCAACGCCTCACCTACATCTGGGTATCTCTGAGTCCGCAACACACTCTGTTCAACCTCTACTCTCTTCCTGAAGAGAGGAATTACCTTTTACATCTGTCTATGGGCTTTTTTCCTTCCAAAGCAGGAAGACATTTCATGGTCCTTTGTGTAACTAAAACCCTTAGGGAGCAGAATACATCTTTCAAACAGGAAAGGGCTCAAGGACATTTCTACCCCATTCCTGGCCACTCTCAACTGAGCCAACCCACACATCACATCGCACCCCAACCAGATTCTCTCTGTCTTCCCTCCCCCAGACCCTACACCCCCCGCCCCTGCAAGACCTCCTAGGAGCCTGCTCTGGGCTTAGCCCCTTCCTTGGATCCACCTGCCTCTGGTCAGGACTCCCTGCACCAGCCTCCCATCCCCACACAGGACCCTCTCCCAGGACTCCAGCTGCTCAGCCTCCCACCCACACAGGTTAAGGTGTGGGGAACAACATGGCACATACACTTCACAAGCTTCCCATGTGGCATGGCTCATCCTACTCTGGATCTCACGCCATCCAAATACCAGGATCTCAGCAAAAGAGATGATACTACAAACTTCACTACCTATCAGTCTGACTTGTCATTCCAGCCAACACAACAGTGGGTCATTGGTATGTGGATACTGCAGTCTGTTTGGGCACATGATGAGTAAGTGTGTGTGTGAACAAGTGCAGCAAATCCTAGACTCTCCCTGCCAACTAAAATCTAGCTCGTAGCTGACCTCCCCACTCACTCCTGACTTGCTGATGTGTGTAGTAGCAACTGCAGAAAACGCCTCGACAGACCAAATAATAAATGGCCAGCTGTGACTCTGAATGGCATCCTTCCAGCTCTGCAGAATTAGAAAATGCACTCAAACCAAAGGGGCCCCGGGTCTGAGACATGTCATTTCCCCAGGATGGACCCACCTTGAACTCCTCCAGTACTTCAAAGCCAAGGCACAGAGATGGTGTCATCAAGACCTTGAGAGTCTGCAAAAACTCACACACACTGGGACTCCTTGCTCATGGATGTGTGTTCTCCTGTTGCTACAAGTGTCCCACCAGTTAAATGCAAAGTTTCCTCTTGTTTAAGTGACAGGTCGTGTGGATCACTAATTTACATAAACCCAGAGGAGAAAAAAATCCACAAGGATGGAAGAGGGAATCAATCAAATATTAAGATGTAGCCCAAACCCTCAGCATCTGGTACCAGTTCTAGAGGGAATATATAAACATGGCAGAGACCACAGGAATGACAGATGGTTGCAAAAACAAGAAATAATGCATCAAATTTACTCACGGTGACACGAACAACACTCAACTTCTGCCGCTGAGGTGGCAAGTTGGTTTGCAACTGAAAAGACCCTTCATCAGGGAAGGTGAGAAACGCTACTGCAAACACTACTGTGCACACTACTGCACCTGCTCAACACATCACTCACTACTATGAGCCAACAGTTGACTTCTCATGGCCATGGTTTATTCATCTGTGAAGCGGGAATGGCAATACTTGCAGAAACAGAGTAGCCCATTACAAGCAAAGGCACATGGGCCTTTAAACAAACCTAGATCTGAATACAGTCACTTGATGAGTAACACTGAGTTACTTAAACTCCCTGAGGTAGTAAAATGGTGATAACACCCACCTCAGAAGGCTGCTGCAAACACTGAGTAACAGCTGATAAAAGTGTTCCTTATAGTAGCAGGCATGTAGTGAATGCCCAGTAACTACAAATGTCTATTAAGACTTGTTGAGTGTTTATAATACTCCCCAACATGGTGCTATGCACCTTGCCTAACTTATCTTGCCATACTTGGTTTGTCTACCCTTCATGTATGAAGATAAACATGTTTTTATACATAAACATGGACACGAGAAAACTTCTGGAAGGATATACATCAAAATTCTAATAGCAGTTACCTCTTGGTGCTAGGAATGTAATTTTTCTTTTTGCTTATCTTTTTCCAAAATTTTCTACCAACACTATTTCTATATGCCTCAATATTTGCTTTAACACCAAACAAAATTACAATATAATGAAAAACCACTGCTCTTAGGTAACAACCCTCCAAACATAAGCCCTTTTTTTTAGAGGGAAGAACTAATAAAGCTTTGCTTTCCATGAGGAACCAATAAGTGTTTTTCTTTTCAATAAGAAAGCTAAATGACTTACTCCCCTCTTCACTTTGCCACCAGGAAGCTCAGAGCCAAAATTTTAGTTTGGTCATTCAATTAGCTTTGTCCCTATATTTCAGAGGCTTCTTGGTTGGGACATTAAATGACAGAATTATAACATTTAAATTCTCTTTCTGAAATTAAAAAAAAAAAAAATACAAAACTGCAACTCAAGGACATAATAATTTTAAAAGTCTTAGAAGTTCCATAATAACAAAAGTCAGTTTATTAAATGCTCAATTCTCAAAATTATATATATATATTTTTAATTATTTAAAAAAACTTCCATGCCCTTCCATTCCCCTCCCTCCAAACTAGGTATTGTCCAAGTTGTATCAAATGCCACAAAGTCTACCATGCACCCAGAAGCAGAGAAGACAGGAGGTCCAGAGGACAAGGTATGGTGGGGTCACTACTCGCACTGCAGAGTCCACGCGAGTTAACTCATGCTGGGGGCAAAGAATGGAAAGAGCTAATACACAGACAAAGCAAAAGAATGAAATGCGCAGCCTGACCAGAGACGTTTACAATTTATACCAACTTA
Source organism: Homo sapiens (assembly GCF_000001405.40). Taxonomy (NCBI): domain Eukaryota; kingdom Metazoa; phylum Chordata; class Mammalia; order Primates; family Hominidae; genus Homo; species Homo sapiens. Next base: position 175,959,872 of record NC_000005.10, read on the forward strand.
CAAATATTTAGGGTGCCCACCAACTCCGAGAGAACAGACCAAACTAACCACATGAAGGAAGACCTCTGCCGGGGCCTCCTCTCCCTACAACCTCCTCTCAAGAATCATTAGGAAGCCCAAACAGCTTCACAGTTCCGGCTTCCCGGCTGCTGTCATATTTGCCGTCTTTGTCATCACAGGCAAATGCCAGCAGAGGCCTTTTGGGGTGCCACGCCACTGTGAAGGTCGGAGACTCACACTGTACCTCCCATAGTTTGTCCCCTACAGAAAACAATAGAGAGAAACCAATCAATACGTTCAAAACGAAGGACACATTCATTAAGTACTTACCAGTATTAACTGGTTTAATCCACCTACTAATCCCATGAGATAGATACAACTATTACCTCATTTTACAGAGAACCCCCAGGCACAGAGAGCCCACAAGCCAGTGGAGGACAGAGCCGGTTCTGAGCACAGGTGGGTTAACTCAAGAGCAGGTCACTGAGCAGGAAAGTGTCTCCGCGTCACAGGGACATGCAGTTACATGAAGGATCTGCATGGCTGGATGCTGGACAATGTTCACCACAACGTGACTAACAGGGGCATGCATTCTTTACATAGTGGAATTTCAAGTTCTTTACTTTCCTCTTCGAAGTTTTCTATACAGTTTTAATCTTTTTACGAAGAGTGTCAAAGATTTCCAAAAACAATAAAGCAACATTAAAAAACAAATCTGAGGAAATTCTTTTGCAAAATGAATACTCTCCTCCCATTTTTCTATTTCCAGCTTCTGTTGTTTTTAAAGCAAAAACTTTATAATTCCTCAAATTTTAAATAATATTTTTTCAAGTTCATATACAGGCAAAAGATAAAGAGAAATATATCACAACATTTAAAACAGGTGGTATTTAGAGAGTGGGACCCCAAGTGGTGCTTTTTTCTTCCTTCTACTCTGTAGTTTAAAGTTTAAATAAATCAAAATATTTTTCTAAATCACTTTCCTCAGACCTGCCTGTTTATTTCTTAACTCTTTGCTTCCTCACCACCTGGCAGTGACAGTCAAAACAGAAACATACTTGTCTAAAGGAGACAAATTCATTCATGATCATGCTGGTGAAGTAGTCACATGCAGAGATGAGATCACAAGAGAAGTCCTGACTGCCAAAGGTGAAAGACGGTAGATTCTCATGAAGTTACCTGTCTCCACTTCAGCAATGTCAATAAAATGATCTTCCGATGCTGACGCCAGCATTTTCCCATCATGGCTGAAACTGAGGGTTCTTACAGGCCAATCCAGCCTATGATACAGAGTGGACAGAAGAGACAAGAGAATTACCAAGTAAGAGGAGGGAACAATGTCACTCAAGATGAAATAAAATTAATGTACCCAACAAGGGAAGTGCTGATAGAGTCACTTACCTGGAAAAGCACCGAACACACACTAACTCATCCACATCCCAGAGGCTGACCAAAGCATCTGCACTTCCTGTGGCAAAGTACTTCCCCATGGGGTCAAACTTGATACAGATGCAGTTGGAAGGATGGGCGTTGATGGACTGCACAGGCTTCAGTTCTGGGTAGCTGAGAAAAAAGACAGCGATCAAACTGCAGAAGAGGACTGTGGTGCTGAAACAATAATAGGAGATGATGAAGAAGAAAAGCAAAGATAATAGACCACCACCAAGAACTGTCATTCAAGATAACATTCCTGAAATAAAAAAAGATTTTGAACTACATTATTTAAAAAGCACAACACATACCTGAGACTACAGAACCAAAGTTACCAACATCGAGACAGAGACTAGCAAAACTAGTGGACTTTAAAGAAAAAGAAAATTAGATTATTGGGCTTTCTGACAGCAACACTTAATGCCAAAAGAAAATGGAGTACCATATTTAAGAAAGATACACAAGCGAGAAAACGAGCCAAGGATTTTTACATCCAGCAAAACTGAATTTCAAATATAATGATACAAACAATAAGCACAATAACGTTTTATAAAATCTGTAAGTTTTAGAAGTACGTAAATAAGTTGTAATAAAAACTCCAGGAATAATGTTCCCATGAACGCTTCCCGAGGAATCTTAACTAGAGAATGAGCTTCAATTAAAAAAATGACTAGAGACTTATAAGGACTGGTGCTCAACACTGAATATACAGTTTCTTGCAAAAACTATACATGGTTTAAAGAGAGGGTATAATATGTAACATCTGCACATGCTTACAACATATAGTACTATTTTTTTAATGGGGGAAGAATGGAAAGAGTATATGCAAAAACCAAAAACATTTTTTGTTTCAAGTCATCACATTGGTGGTAGCAGCAGTAATATTGTTGTTCTGAGACATCTATATGTTTACCATGGGAGATAGGTAATAAGTAACCATCGGATATTCTAATTCTATGATCCCCTGTGCCCTTGAGAACCAGAATACTCAATTTGGGAGGAAAGAAATATATTTGTAATATAGAAGAGGTTTAGTAAAATCCCTGGAGTCCTCAATTTTGATTGCAAGTTATCAACATGAATTCATAAGGTATTTTATCTTTAAATATATATATATATACACACACACACACACACACACGTAATTCCTAGGCCAACCCAGCAGTAATGAACATTCCTAACTTCAGTATCATTTCTCAGTAAAAGAATGTAAGGCTCCTTTTTTTTTTTTTTTTTTGAGGTGGAATCTCACTCAGTCGTCCAGAATGCTGGAGTGCAGTGGTGCAATCTAAACTTACTACAACCTCCGCCTCCCGGGTTCAAGCGATTCTCCTGCCTCAGTCTGCCAAGCAGCTGGGAATATACACGTGCGTCACCACGCCCAGATAATTTTTGTATTTTGAGTAGAGACAGGGTTTCTCTATGATTGCCAGGTCTCAAGTGATCCACTCGCCTCGGCCTCCCAAAGTGCCAAAGTGCTGGGATTACAGGCGTGAGCCACCGCACCCAGCCAGAATGTTAAGGCTTCTTGGAGAATGTTCTGATTAAAGGTCTGGGGCAAGAAATGCACAAGATGAACTTGGAACATCTTATCAAACCAGAGAGCAAAAAAACAGAAGACGATGGGATTATGTCAAAAAAGGTCTCAGGAACCAACTTGAAGAGGTTCTTATTGGCCAAAGATGGGATAATTTGAGCTTCAACAGGCGTAACAATTACAAGAGATGGAAACACACCAACTATGTTTAAAAACATCAGCCCGTAATGATTCTTTAAAAAAAAAACACCTAACTGCTCATCTTTGGAGGTAGCAGGAAACAAAATCATTATCTGACAAACAGAATCAAAATTTTATCCTGCCTTCCCTACATGAACTACACTACTGGGTAACCAAATCGCAGATGAGAAGCAGCATCTCTTTACACAACAGTCCAACACATAAACAGCATATGGAATCAGCAAAAGCCAAACTGGGAGAATCTCCACAGGTTAACAGTCTGGTTTTTCAACAGCTACGTTTTCGGAAGTTTCTTTTGAGTAATTTAAGAGATACAAAAGACATATCAATTTTTTTTTTTTTTAATGAGCAAAACTAGGGTATCTAGGGGCTGCACATGTGGTAGATAAACTATGAAGAAACACTATAAAAGTCAGGATAGTGTTTGCTTTTGTGGAAGGAAGTTGTAATTAGGACAAATCACCTGGATGGACTTCTGGGATGGCTGGAAAGAACTACTTCTCAACTTGGGCGGGGTTGCACAAGAGTTAAGCCTATAAGAGTTCATTAAGCTATACATTTATTTTATGTGGTTTTCAATATCTGTGTTTTATAATAAAAAGATTTTTCTTAAAAAGTTATAGAATCCCCATTGCCTACAAAATAAAACCCAAGATACTAAGCATAAAATAAAGGCCTTTTATAATCTGGTCCCAAATTAGACTTCATCTTCCCATTATCATGCCCTCTCTTATTTCCCTTATCTGCCACCACTCCCCCAACAACCCTGACCTAACCACTCTCCAAGTAAGTCATGCTCACTCACACCTGCTTTGTCAGTTATGTGGTTCCCTTTTGCTTATTCTTAAAATTCTGCTCATCTTTCAAGATCAAGCTCACAAGCTCCCTCCTTCAACCCCCCATATAGTATGTCTGTTCTTTCCGTGGAATTTCACAGCAAACTCCTGGCCTCCCACTCACAGAACCTATCTCACTTGGTCTTGCATTGTTCACCTGGGATAGTGGAAGGCTAGAATTGAACAGACCTGAATTTCAGCTCCACAGTTTCATTCATTTACAGAACAAATATTTACTAAGATCCTACTACGTGGAGCAGGTACAGGACTAGACATTAGGGACTCAACACTAAACAAGGCAAACACCATCCCTACCATCAAGGAATTCACAGTCTAACAGGAGACACAGGCAAATAAACATGCAATTACAATATAGAAAGAAAAGTGCTTCCTACAGAAAGTATATAAAATACGCCTCTAACCTACCTCTAACCTTGGGGTAGCGGGGGAGCTTCCCTGAAGGCAAAGTGATATTTCAGTTGAAACTTTAAGAGTACGAATTAGCCAGAGGTCGGGCTAATCACCTGAGGTCGGGAGTTGGAGACCAGCCTGACCAACATGGAGAAACCCTAAACTACAAAAAATACAAAATTAGCCAGGTGTGGTGGCACATGCCTCTAATCCCAGCTACTTGGGAGGCTGAGGCAGGAGAATCGCTTAACCTCGGAGGCAGAGGTTGCGGTGAGCCAAGATCACACCATTGCACTGCAGCCTGGGCAACAAGAGCAAAACTCTGTCTCGAAAAACAAAAAAAAAGGGAGTACGAATTAGCCATAATTCAAGGTGCATCCAGTTCTAGCACACACTAGCTGACTACTGATGTAACCTCTCACCCTCAGATCCTCATCTGTCAAATGAGAAGCAAATCATCAACCCCTAGAATTTCTGTAAGGACTCAGTAAAATATAAAGTATATAAAATATACAGCTCAAATGTACTTAAGACAGGTTAGGATTCTCTCTTACTATTTGTGTTTTAAGCTCCTTCAGGATAGGCTCACATCTAATTCATCTCCATATCTGACACAGCACCCAGCACAAAGACATGACAGTCCCCTAAGCTAGACCCCCTCACCTGAGGATGTTGATACAACCATTGCCATTTGTCAGGAAGAACATATTATTGTCATTGTTCCAGGAGATTTCGTTGACCTCGAACTTGAACTGCTCTTCTGCTTTGGAACGGTGTGTCTTGGCATCAATAAAGGTCACCACATCATCCTTGTTGCCTACAGCAATGGTCTGCCCATCAGGACTCCAGCAGATATTAATGTTCTCCCCTGGGAACCCAGACATAATCAGCAAGATAATCTGTTTGCTCATAATCTTCCACAAGTTTATTGCACTATCCTAGAAAGAAGACCAGAGCTTTCTTCCGGGCTTACTCATTAAAGTCCTAGACAATGGAAGGGAGCTACCACTTATGATTCAACAATAAGTCCAGAACTTTCATCTACACATTTCCCCATTTGGTCTTCACAATACTCCTCTAACATACACTTTATTATCTCCATTTATAAAATCTATAAGATTTTATAGATGAAGGAAATAGGAGATAAGACGACAAGCCAAAGTGTCAAAGCTATGAAGTCACAGAGCTATGAAGTGGCGCAATCTCGGCTCACTGCAAGCTCCACCTCCTGGGTTCACGCCATTCTCTCGCCTCAGCCTCCCGAGTAGCTGGGACTACAGGCGCCTGCCACCACACCAGGCTAATTTTTTTGTATTTTTAGTAGAGACGGGGTTTCACCGTGTTAGCCAGGATGGTCTCGATCTCCTGACCTCGTGATCCGCCCGCCTCGGCCTCCCAAAGTGCTGGGATTACAGGCGTGAGCCACCGTGCCCGGCCAAGCCAAGATTTTAAACCCAGATTTGACCCCAAAGCCCCCTTTTCTCTTACACCAGCATTTCTCAACTCCAGCCATTCGCATGCCAACATCACAATTTTTGTCCTATCCATTAAACACTATACTTTTCTTTATTCAAGATTTTTCTTAAAATTGATTCAAAAAAGTTTACTTAAATAAATTTAGCAGCCAGCTGTGGAGGCTCAAGCCTGTAATTCCAGCACTTTGGGAGGCCAAGGTAGGCAGATCACTTGAGTCCAGGAGTTCAAGATCAGCCTGGGCAATATGGCAAAACCCGTCTCTACAAAAAATTAGCCAGGCATGGTGGCATGTGCCTGTAGTCCCAGCTACTCAGGAGGTTGAGGTGAGAGGATGGCTTGAGCCCAGGTGGAGGCTGCAGGGAGCCAATATTGTGCCACTGTACTCCATCCTGGGTAACAGGGCAAGACCCTGTCTCAAAAATAAAAATAAAATAAAATAAATAAAAATAAAATAAATTTAGCTTCAACTGAATAATAAATTCTATGTGCTAGTTCTTCTAGTAGACATTAAGATATTTGCAAAACTGGTTTTTAATGTTCACCCACGCATCACCTGAATCACTCATGGATCAGCAGCTGTATACTTGGGGAAAAACCACACCATTCCGCCTCCAGAGATAAGTCTTGTCAACAAAGTCCAGTGGCCCACACTGAACACATCAATTAAAAATCTCACCAACTTTTTCCATTCTAAAACGCATATTTTCTCACATTTTAGTATCTACACTGTATCTTAAAATGTATCAGAAAGCATTTCAAAATTTTGGGTGTATCACAGTTATTTACCAACTTTCTTTCCTAATGGAACATCTTACGATCAATGAAAACTCAGAGTCCCATACAATATCGGCCTCAATACTTACAACAGAGCCTATAAATGTACTGCACAACTTTCTCCCAGATCACCAAGACCATCCAAGTTTCAACCATTCTAACTCATCAGAATTTTCCAAATTCTCCATGCCTTTGCACATGCCGTTCCCTCCTGGAAATGTCCCATTCCCCACCCACAGCACCCTGACCACTCAACTCCTATGGCTACCCTAAAAGTTTGCTCAAATTTGGTGAGGCCTTCCCTGGCTCCCCTAGGCAGACTTTTGTTTTCATTTCTATTCTGGGTATCCACCTTGCAGACCTCTCCATTATAAAATGAACCATATCTTGCTATGTTATTTGTATATATATGTCTTCTCCCCGCAGGGGAGGTCCTTGGAGCTGGAAACTCTTATTCAGCTCAGGATGTCTCATACACAGCTGAGTGCCAAGCACAGAAAAGATATTCGGAAAATGGTTGTTGAATGAATCCAAACAGCTTATCTTCCTATTGCCCTCTCTCTGAATAGTCACCTTTAGTGTTCACAGTGGCAATGCATTTTGTAGTCCTCACATCCCAGATGCGAATGGTTTTATCTCCGGACGCCGTAACAAATAGGTCAGGATTACTTGGATGCCAACAAAGCTGGTCCACACTATCCCCATGTCCCCGATAATTGTTTTCTTTGACCTGAAAGAACAGAATCCAGATGTGACTTCACATAGATGTAACTGCCTCCGCATGTAACTTTATAAGCTTATTCAAACCAAAGTATGCTGGGACCAGTAAAGATCTGGGTAATTCAGAATCCAGTTCCTCCAAGCCCTTTCTCCCTTCTCTTCTCCGCAGGCCTTCTGAACTGTTTTTCTCAGCTTCCACACCTATGCCCTTACTTTTGTGCCCTCCCTGGCCTTCTCCTCCTTCCTGGTTTTCCACCCTTACTCTACCACCAACGTACCACCAACGTACCACCACCAACGTACCACCACCACCACCACCACCACCACCACAGCCCCTAGCCACTTCTTATCAGCACAGGATTCGACTCCAAACCAGTAAGGCTCCCATCGCAGCCCTGTCCCATCCACCCTCTCCTCACCTTCACCCGCCATCGCCAACCTCCTTACTTCCACACTCTTCACACGCCCCCAGTCTTCCTCTCCTCACCCCTCACGACCCCGTCACCCCCACACTCCACCTTCTCCCTACTCCCTCCTCATCTCCACACTCCCCCTTTCCCCTTCCCTCAAACCCACTCTCCTTTCACCCCCGCGGCTCCGTTCGCCCCCATTCGCTCTCCCACTACCGCACCTCACTTCACCACGGCCCCTCTCCCTAGCCTGAGCCGAGCCCCGGCAGCTCACCAACCGGTCCTTCTCCAGCAAGAAGACGCTGGCCGTCTTGTCGAAGGACCCCGAGGCTAGGCGACGCCCGTCGCAACTCCAGGCCACCGAGTGCACCTTGGCGCTGTGCGCCAGGAACTCGCGCGTCTTGCTGTGGCCCCGGAACAGCTCCTGCATCCCAAGCACGTAGCGCGACGGGCCGCTGCTCACTGAGCACCACGGGGCCATCGAGCCGGGGCCGCTCTGGCCCAACGCCGAGGGCCCCATGGCTGCAGCGGGGACCGCCATGCCGAGCTCCCCAGCTTCCAACTCACAACACTGCAGCAGCCTCCACGGCGCAGTCAGTCCTGGCGCCGCTGCCGCACGCATGCGCCCGGAAGAGCGACGGCCCCTCTGCGCAGGCGCGCTGTACCCCGCCCCGGAAGGGACTACAAATCCCGGTATGCAGCGCGTGCCCGCGTCTGCTTACTTAGTAATATTTGGTTCTTTTAACTCCAAATATGCTTCACACTTAACGATTCCGAGTTTTTTTAGTGTTCTTATTTCTCCCTTACCTATTCTTTGGTAGATATATGTGTATTCCTGTTTAATCGAATAAAAGAACCAACACTAACCTTCTAAACAGTTAACTCATCACCTTTCTTCTGGGGTTGTTCCGTAATCCCTAGTCCCCTCCCTTAAGAGCAGAAAGCTCTGGTCTTTTTGCTGGAGAAGGACCAGCTGGTGAGCTTGTCCCATGAAAAGGGCTAGCGGGTGTGGAGTGAGGGAAGAGGTGTTAAGAAGGGGTCTGGAGGTTTTGTTTTTTTTTTTTAAATAAAAATGGATTTTTTGTTTTTAAAAGGTAATGGCAGAGGCGTGTGAACCAGAGCAACTCTATCTTAAATAGGAACTGGGTAAAATGAGGCTTAAACCTACTGGGCTGCATTCCCAGACTGTTAAGGCATTCTAATCACAGGATGAAATAGGAGGTCAGCACAAAATACAGGTCATAAAGACCTTGATGATAAAACAGGTTGCAGTAAAGGAACCGGCCAAAACCCACCAAAACCAAAATGGCGATGAGAGTGACCTCTGGTCATCCTCACCTCTACACTCCCACCAGTGCCAGGACAGTTTGTAAATGCCATGGCAATGTCAGGAAGTTACCCTATACGGTCTAAAAAAGGGAGGCATGAATAATCCACCACTTGTTTAGCATATCATCAGGAAAAACCATAAAAATGCGCAACCAGCGGCCCTCGGGGCTGCTCTGTCTATGGAGTGGCCATTCTTTTATTCCCTTTACTTTCTTAATAAACTTGCTTTCACTTTGCACTGCGGACTTGCCCTGAATTCTTTCCTGAGTGAGATCCAAGAACCCACTCCTGGGGTCTGGATTGGGACCCTTTTCCTGTAACAGTATTACATGCACATGATTGTAAATATAAAAATAAAAGATATAGAGTGAAAAGTAAATGTCCACCTGCGTATCCACCCCACCTCTCATATCTCCCTTAAACCAGTGGCTTCTTGCTGGAGAAAAAAGGGGTGGTGAGCTGCCAGCGCCAGTCAAGGCCCTGGAGAAGAGCTGAGGGGGGAAGGTTTTGGTGGTGAGTAGTAGTGGTAAATGTGTTTAAAAACCCAATTTTTAAAAGGCAACACGTGCACTTGGTAACAAATGTAAAATGTATAAAAGGGAATAGATTGAAAAGCTTCCCTCCATCCTGTGTCCCCAAACTTCTCTTCTGAAAAAGTTAAATTTCTTGTGTGGCCTTCCAGAGACAGTGTAAGTAAGCACCTGGGCAAGGTAGATAGGTGTGTGCATAACCTCTCCCAACACACTGCCAAAAAGGTAGCATTCCTTACACAACTTGCTTCCTATGGTAAATATGTATAGGAAATCATTTCTTGTCAGAAAATGCAGACGTCTCATTCTTCTCAATGGTGGCAGTCTTTATATGAATATATAATATTCAACTGATCCCTTCATGAATTTGCTTTTAGAACAATATTAGAACAATATTGCAGTGAATATCCCTATACAACCTTCATTGTGCACATCTGCACTTTTTTATTTGGATATATATTGCCAAAACACCTATGAAGAGGTTTAATAATTTATACTTCCACCAGCAACATAAGAAAGTGTCAGAAGGTCCTAGGTACTAAATGAGTACACATATAAAGCATATGGCTCTCAGAAGGACCGTAGGAAATAAGGTCCCTATCTTTCCCCAATCTTTTCCCTACCCCATTGCAACCAGAAATTCTTGGAAACTACAAAGCTTTTCAGACTCCAAGAATACCACTGAAGTCTCTAAAATCTTGGAGTAGGAAACTATTTGGTGTCTAGTTTTCTTCCTTACCCCTCTTTTTCAGGAATCTTCATATATATATATATATTTAGATATTTTTCCTACATTTTCCCTGTATTTTGTATTTTTTTTTTTTTTTTTTTTTTTTTTTTGCTGCATACACTGAGGATTTACAAGTCCCTGCCAAGATACAAAAACTGAAGTAGAAAGAGGTAAAATGTCCTGGTCCAGGTCACATGACTATCATGTGACAGAGCAAAGGTTAGAACTCAGATGTTACTGACTCTAAAATCTACACTCTGATTCTCAGTATCTGAAATCACGTAAATGTGATTCTTTGTATTTCTGCATTCATTTTGTATTTTTGTATGTAATGTATATTTTTTATTTTTTAATTTTTTTTTGAGATGAAGTTTTGCTCCTATTGCCCAGGCTGGAGTGCAGTGCGATCTTGGCTCACTGCAACTTCCGCCTCCCAGGTTCAACCAAGTCTTCTGCCTCAGTCTCCCGAGTAGCTGGGATTACAAGCACCGCCACCATGCCTGGCTAATTTTTTGTATTTTCGGTTGAGATGGGGTTTCGCTATGCTGGCCAGGCTGGTCTCGAACTCCTGATGTCAGGTGATCCACCCGTCTCTGCCTCCCAAAGTGCTGGGATTACAGGCATGAGCCACCGCGCCCGGCCTGTAATGTATGTTTTTTACTTAATTTCCCCTTGTGTTCCTTTTCTATATTCTGTATACATGGATGTTAGAAACTCAGTTGTGATAAGTATATCCGACTGCTCTTGCCTGAGACAGAAACTGGTATAACATTTCAAGTTGGACTAGCACACATCTGGGGGCAATGTTGAGACTGAAGTCAGAGTCTCTCAAAGGGGAGATAAAATTGAGGGGAACAGAGTCATGGGCCATTTTTTAAAACTTTTTATTTGGAAAAATTCAAATTTACAGAAAAGTTGCAAGAATACTAAAAAGCACTGCTATTCCTGTGACACAGATTCACCAAATTGTAGCATTTTGTTCCACTTTTTTTCTTTTTTTAGTTTTATTTTTATTTATTTATTTTTTTGAGACACAGTCTTACTCTGTCACCCAGGCTGGAGTGCAGTGGCGCGATCTTGGCTCACTGCAACCTCCGCTTCCCAGGTTCAAGCGATTCTCATGTCTCAGCCACCTGAGTAGCTGGGATTACAGGCATGCACCCCCACACCCGCTAATTTTTTGTATGTTTTGTAGAAATGGAGTTTCTCCATGTTGGCCAGGCTGGTCTCAAACTCCTGGCCTCACCCGCCTTGGCCTCCCAAAGTGCTGAGATTACAGGCCTGAGTCACTGTGCCCAGCCTCCATTTGCTTTCTCTACATATATCTACGTTACTACTCTTTTGTCTAAACATTTGGCAATTGTGCATTAGTCCGTTCTCACATTGCTATAGGGAACTACCTGAGACTGGGTAATTTATAAAGAAAAGAGGTTTAATTGGGCCAGGCGCGGTGGCTCACACCTGTAATTCCAGCACTTTGGGAGGTCAAGGCGGGTGGATCACGAGGTCAGGAGTTCAAGACCAGCCTGGCCAAGATGATGAAACCTCGTCTCTACTTAAAATATAATAAAATTAGCCAGGCGTGGTGGCGGGCGCCTGTAGTCCCAGCTACTTGGAAGGCTGAGGCAGGAGAATGGCGTGAACCCGGGAGGCGGAGCTTGCAGTGAGCCTAGATTGCACCACTGCACTCCAGCCTGGGCTACAGAGCAAAAAGCTGTCTCAAAAAAAAAAAAAAAAAAAAAAGAGGTTTAATTGGCTCGTGGTTCCATAGGCTGTACAGGAAGCATGGCTGGGCACGTCTCAGGAAACAGAGAGACAGGGAGGTGCCACATACTTTTAAACAGCCAGATGTCATAAGAACTCAGTCACTGTAACGAGAACAGCAAGGGGGAAATTCGCTCCGATGATCCAGTCACCTCTCACCAGGCCCCTCCTCCAACACTGGGGTTTACAATTGGAAATTTTCTCAGGGACACAAATCCAAGACATATCACATTGTAAGTTGCATACATCTTACCCTTTACCCCTAAATATTTCAGTATTTCCTAAGAAATAGGATGTTCTGTTTCCTACCCCCAGTATAGTTATCGATGTTGGTAAATTGAACAGAAACATGGAATTTTATTTAATCTACTGTCTGTATTTCATTTGTGTCAATTTAGCCAGAAATGTTCTTTATAGCCCTTCTTTTCTTTCAGTACATGTTCCAGTCTAGAACCTCATACTATATTTAGTTATTATATGTCCTTAGTCTCCTTGAATCTATAAAGGTTCCCCAGCATTTCTGTGCCTATTATGACATCAACATTTTTGAAGAATGCAGTTGATGGACCGTTTTTACAGTTCCTTCTCTCACCTAGAAATTCTCTCTTAGGAGCTGATCAAAATCAAACTAAGAAATTTTTTACACATGTGAGTCTTGGGGACTTCAGGGTCATTCAAGGCAGAATCAGGCCATAAATAGTAATGCCAGAGATGACAGGATGTGTAGAGGGACAGGGGAAAAATCTTACAGTGAAAGAAGAGTAGGGGAGTCTTGAAGTATAAGTCCTTTGGGGGTCAGAGGACTTTAGAGAAGCTGATGTTGTAAAAGAAAACAGACTTGTCACCTCTGGCAAAGCCTCAACATATGGGTATGTATCCGTCAGGGTTCAGCCAGAGAAGCAGAACAACTGGAAGATAATTAGAATTATCAGGTAAGTGAAGAAATCAAACTAAAGAAAGGATAGAGTTTCATTTCAGCAGCTTAAAATTTTATATCACAAAGCTGATAATGTTACAACTTAATTATATACCAGACTAATATTCAGAACTAAAGCAGATATATATATGTTCTGCTTTAGTCATATATATGTGATTTTAAAATATAAATATATATTCATATATTTAAATGTTTATATGATAAAATACCTAGATATAAACTTATACAAAATATATTTAAAAATTTTACCAAAAATTACTAATTTTAAGAATTATTTAAGCTGGTGTGGTGGCTCACACCTGTAATCCCAGCACCTTGGAGGCTGAGGCGGGTAGACCACCTGATGTAAGGATTTTGAGACCACCCTGGCCAACATGGTGAAACCCTGTCTCTACTAAAAATACAAAAATTAGCTGGGCATGGTGGTGCGCAACTGTAGTCCCAGCTACTCAGGAGGCTGAGGCAAGAGAATCGAATGAATCCAGGAGATGGAGGTTGCAGTGAGTCGAGATCATACCACTGCACTCCAGGTTGGAGGACAGAACAAGACTCTGTCTTGACAACAACAACAATAAGAGTTATTGAGAGGCCAATAAGAATTTTGGTGAAAAAACTGAAAAGGGAAAAATTAGGAAACCATTTATAGAGGAAATATCCATAGATGTAATTCAAAACAAACAAAAAATATTGCTCTACAGAATTCCTACTGCTCCCTTAAGTGTTTGGATATGCAAAACAGAGGCCTCACCGATTCTCCGTATAAAGATGGGTTTAAGTGATTAGATTGGGTATGGTCATGGGAGAGTTGAGTTGCTCTGTATGAAAATGAAAAGAATAGGCCGGGCATGGTGGTTCATGCCTGTAATCCCAGCATTTTGGGAGGCTGAGGCAGGCAGATCACCTGAGATCAGGAGTTCGAGACCAGCCTGGCCAACATAGTGAAACCCCATCTCTACTAAAAATACAAAAATTAGCCAGGCGTGGTGGTACATGCATATAGTTCCAGCTACTAGGAGGCTGAGGCAGGAGAATTGCTTGAACCCAAAAGGCGGAGGTTGCAGTAAGCCGAGATCGTGCCACTGCACTCCAGCCTGGGTGACAGAGTGAGACTCCATTTCAAAAAATAAAAAATTACATGAAAATGAAAAAAATAATTTAAAATATTTGGGGGAATACCAAGACAGAGCAGCACAAACCAGCAGAGTGGAGCACTGCATAGGTAGAAAGGGGAGATTTTAGGTCCCTTAGGACAGGTGGCTGTTTTTTCAAACGCCTTCTTAAAATCACAAGGCACACAAAGAAACAGGAAAATATGGCCTGATCAAAGTCAACAAAATAAATCTCCAAAAACCAACTCTAAAGAAACACAGGTTTCAGGCTTACTAAACAAAGACTTTAAAACAATGGTCTTTATTAAATATACTCAATGAGACACTGAATTAAAGGAAGCAGGAAAACAATACATGAACAAAATAGGATATCAGCAAAGAGACAAATTATTTTTAAAAAGAACCATACAGACATCCTAGAGTTGAAAAATCAGCTAACTGAATTGGAAAATTAACTAGAGGGGTTCAAAATCAGAATTGAATGGGCAGAAGAATCAGTGAACTTGAAGAAACATCATTTGAAATTATCAAGTCTGAGAAGCAAAAAGAAAAAAACAATGAAGAAAAGTGAACAGAGCCTAGGGAGCATATGGAACAACATCAAGTGGACCAAGTTATAAGCTATTGGAATTCCAGAAAGAAAAGAGAGAGACAGAGAGAAACACAGAGGGAAAAAAATAGACTTTTTTTTCTTTTTAAAATTAAGATGGAGTCTCACTCTGTCATCCAGACTGGAGTGCAGTGGCGTGATCTCGGCTCACTGCAACTTCCACCTCCCAGGTTCAAGCAATTCTCGTGTCTCAGCCTCCCAAGCAGCTGGGACTATGGGTGCGTGCCACCACACCCAGCTAAGTTTTTTTTTGTATTTTTTAGTAGAGAAGGGGTTTTGCCATGTTGGCCAGGTTGGTCTCGAACTCTTGACCTCAGGTGATCCACCTGCCTTGGCCTCCCAAAGTGTGGGATTACAGGCGTGAGCCACCACTCCCAGCCTAAAAATAGACACTAAGTAAAAATAAAACTGTTACAAGAAACAGGAGAATATTATATAATGGTGAAAGGGTCAATTCACCAAGAAGATATAACAATTAAAAACATTTATGCAATAAATATTAGAGCCTAAATATACATAGCAAACATTGACAGAATTGAAGACAGAAATAGACAACTTGAAAAAATAGTAGGAGACTTCAGTACTACCCTTTCAATAACGGATAGAACAACTAGACAGAAGATCAATAAGGAAATACAAGAACTTGAACAACACTATAGACGAAATGGCCCTAACAGACATAAACAACACAATCCACCTAACAATAGAATATACTTTTTTTAAAGTGCATTATGAAACATTCTCCAGGATAGAGGATGTGTTAGGCCACAAAACAAGTCTTAATGAATTTTAAAAGATTAAAATCATACAAAATATTGTTTCCAATCACAATGGAAAGAAACCAATAGCAAAAGTTGTGCTGAAAAATCCACAAATACATGAAAATTAAACAACACATTCCTTAATCCCAGATACTCAGGAGGCTGAAGTGGAAGGATCACTTGAGCCCAGGCATTTGAGGCTGCAGTGAGCTTTGATCATGCCACTGCACTCCAACTTGGATGATGGAGCAAGAGCTCATCTCTAAAGAAAACAAAAGAGAGAACAAAACAATACACTCTCAAATAACAATGGGTCAAAAGAAAAAAATCACAAGGGAAATTAGAAAATATCTTCAGACAAATGAAAATAAAAACAAATGTACCAAAATGTATGGGATGCAGCAAACATAGTACTAAAAAGGAAATTTACAGCTGTAATTGCTTGCATACCAAATAAGAACCCAAATCAACAATGTAACTTTACACCTTAAGGAACTAGAAAAATAACAAATGAAACTGAAACCTCGCAGAGGAAAAGAAATAATGAAGATTTGAGCAAAGATCAACAAAATAGAGAATAGAAAACAACTTTTAAAATTAAAAAACAAGAGTTGGTTCTTCCATAAGATCAGCAAAACTGCCAACTGACTAAGAAAATAAGAGAGAAGTCTCAAATAACTAAAATCAGAAATGAAAGGAGACATTGCTGCTGCTTTTACAGAAATAAAAAGGATCATAAGCTAGTAATGTGAATACCTATATGATGAAAAATTAGATAACTAGATGAAATGAATAAAATCCTAGAAATACACAATCTACCAAGAGTGAATCTGGAGAAACAGAAAACTGGAATAGACTACAATTAATAAGGAGATTGAATCTATAGCCAAAAACCTTTCAACAACAACCAAAAAAAAAAACAAAACCCTAGAACAAGATGGTTTCACTAGTAAATTCTACCAAACATTTATAGAAAAATTAACAGCAATCCTCCTAAACTGTTAAAAAGACTGAAGAGAGGACACCCCCCACTTATTCTATAAGACCAGCATTACCCTAATATAAAAGCCAAACAAATACACTACAAGAAAAGAAAACCACACAGACCAGTATCCCTGGTAAACACTGAAGTGAAAATCCTTAACAAAATACTAGCCAACAGAATTCAACAATGCTTTAAAATTACTACATACCACGACCAAGTGGGATTTATTTCTGGAGTGCAAGGATGATTTAACATACAAAAAACAATGAATGCGGCCAGGTGCAGTGGCTCATGCCTGTAATCCCAACGCTTTGGGAGGCCAAGGTGGGCGGATCACCTGAGGTCAGGAGTTTGAGACCAGCCTGGCCAACATGGTGAAACCCTGTCTCTACTAAAAACACAAAAATTAGCCAGGAGTGATGGCGGGCACCTGTAATCCCAGCTACTCGAGAGGCTGAGGCAGGAGAATCTGAATCCAGGAGATGGAGGTTGCAGTGAATTGAGATCGCGCCAGTGCACTCCAGCCTGAGTCACAGAGTGAGACTCCCATCTCGAAAAAAAAAAATGCATTTCTCCACATAAATAGAATTAAACACAAAACCACATGATCATCTCAATTGATTCAGAAAGAACGTTTGACAAAATTCAACATATTTTCATGATAAAAAGTACTCAGCAAACTAGAAATAAAAGAGAACTACCTCAATATAATAAAAGCCATATATGTAAAGCTTACAGCTAACACGTTAAATGGTTAAAGACCAAAAGGTCTAGGATCACAAACAAGAATAAAGATGCCTGCTTTTGCCACTTCTATTCAACATAGTACTGGAAGTCCTAACTGGAGCAAGCAGGTAAGAAAAAGAAATAAAAAGCATCTAAATTGGAAAAAAAACACATAAAATTATCTCTCTTCTCAGATTACACATTTAATGTAGGAAACCCTGAAGAGTCCACTAAAAAACAAACGAACAAACAAACAAAAACTGTTAGAACAATCACTAATCATTAGGAAAATGCAAATCAGGCCAGGCATGGTGGCTCATACCTACAATCTCAGTACTTTGGGAGGCCAAAGTGAGAGGATGGCTTGAGCCCAGGAGTTCAAGACCAGCCTGGGCAACAGGGTAAAACCCGGTCTCTACCAAAAATACAAAAATTAGCTGGGTGGGGTGGTGCATGCCTGAAGTCCAGCTACTCAGGAGGCTGAGGTAGGAAAAGCACCTGAGCCTGGGAAGTCAAGGCTGCGGTGAGCTATGATTGTGCCACTGCACTCCAGCCTGGGCAATGGGAGAGAGACCCTGTCTCAAAAAAAAAAAAAAAAGCAAAAATTAAAATTGAAATGATAATGAGATGCTACTTCATACCCATTATGATGGCTACTATTTAAAAAATGAGCAGAAAATAAAAAGTGTTGGCAAGGGTGTGTAGAAATTGAAACCATTGTGCACTATTGGTGGGAATGGAAAATGGTGAAGTCACATTGGAAAACAGTATGGCAGTTTCCCAAAAAGTTAAAAATAGAATTACCATATGATAAAGCAATTCTGTTTTGGGGTATAGACCCAAAAAGAATTGAAAAGCAGGGTCTCAAGGAGATCGCCATATACCCATGTTCACAGCAGCATTATTCACAATAGGGAAAAGATGGAAGAAATCCAAGTGTTCAGTGACAGATGAATGGGTAAACAAGATGTGATAAATACATATAATAGAATATTATTCAGCTTTAAAAAGAAATTCTGACACATGCTACAACATGAGTTTGAACTTTGAACACATTTTGCAAAGTGAAATAAACCAGTTACAAAAACAGAAATGCTGTATAATTCCACTTATATGAGATTTCTAGAATAGTCTAATTCATAGAAACAGAAAGTAGAATAGTGGTTGCCAGAGGCTGAGGGAAGGGGAGAATTCCAGGGAGTTACTGTTTAATGGGTATTGAGTTTGAGTTCAGCAAGATAAACAGTGTTCTGGAGACAGATGGTGGTGATGGTTGCAGAACAATGTGAATGTACTTTGTAAACCAAAAATAAAATTCTAACCACCTCCTGCCCCACCATCTGAATGGACTTCTCTTGGCAAGAGCATTCCAAGGCTAACCAGGGGGACTGGTTCTGACCATAATGGGAGGCAGGGAGCAGACATGTCTCATTATGCCCTCTTCCCTTTCAAAATTACTGAATAGAACAGACTGTTGAAGTCTGATGAAAAACATTTACAATCTGTTCTCTCTGAAGCCTGGTACCTGGAAGCTTCATCTGCATGATAAAACTTTGGTCTCCACAACTCCTAATCATCACAACCCAGACGTTCCTTTCTACTGATTCCAGGTCTTTAGATAATAACATAACTCTTTCGACCAATTGCCAAATAGAAATTTTTTTAATCTACCTATAACCTGGAAGCGCCCCCTCCTTCAAGTTGTCTGGCCTTTCCAGACTGAACCAATGTACATTTTACATGTACTTTATTGATATCTCATGTCTCCCTAAAATGTATAAAACTAGGCCATGCCCCAACCACCTTGGGCACATTATTAATAGAGACAGGAGGCAGAGAAATCATAGTCAGATAGGGTGGGTCCCTGGTGAAACCCCACCTTCCAGCCCAAAACAGCCTGAAACTCACAGAGCAGAGTGAGACCTTCTATTCCTGTTTGCCTGCTCTCTCCCAATTGGATCTTTCTGAATAATGCCTTTTAACCAAACAAATGTTGCTTTTTCCTGTACTACCTACAGCCTGTGCCACCCCCATCATGTGTCTCTAAAGACCCCAGACTCAGTCAGTAGAGGGGAGATGGCCTGACTTTGGGGAGGAGACAGCCTGACTTCAGGGAAGAAATGGCCTGACTTCGGGACAAAGACCTCCTGACTTCAGGGGAAGACAACGAGCGGCCCTTCCCATCCCCTCTCCAACTCCCCTCTCCGCTGAGAGCTGTTTTCATCACTCAATAAAATTCTCTGCCCCCACCGTCCTTCAATCGGCAAGTGTGACCTCATTCTTCTTGGACGCTGGATAAGAGCTCAGGCCCCACCAAGTGTGGGTACCCAGAAGGGTTGTCACACTGGCCCTTTGCCCTCGCTGGCAGAGTGCAGCCACCCCACGCAACAGGGCCAGGGGCCGACTGAGCCGCTAACAATCTGTGGTCCATCAGGCTGTGGGCAGCAGAACTAAAAGAGCTAATTAGCACATGAACACAGCCTCTGGGGCTTCAGGGTCACAGGCACCCTTGTCTGGGTGCCACGGCATTCCCCTCAAGGCAACATGCCTGGTCTGGCCATGGGTGCTGCGTAGAGCTTGCTCCCGTATCAGCACCCAGAGCAGCCAGCCGGATCCCACACTCACTCACCCACTCACGTACTCCCTCCCACAAGAGGGCTGAGTGCGGCAGGCCAAGTAGATGGGGCACCCCTGCCGTGAGTCCAGCAAAGGGGCGGAGAAAAATCCTGCATCATTGTCGGAACTTGCTGAGGCTGTTTAACCTTGGCAAAATAAACTTTCCACGTTGATTGAGATCTGTCTCAAATACTTTGGATTCACAACTTAACACCACTTAACTGTACACTTAAAAATGGTTAAGATGGTAAAACTTATGTTGTGTGTATTTTATGACAATTTTAAAACTAAGAAAAAAAATACATACTAAATTGTTAACAGTGGTTACCACTGAAGAAAAAGACAAGGGGAGAAGGAAACACTTTCGGTTTTCACAATTCTAAATTGTTGGAACTGTTTTTATAATTAATAAACCTTGTATTAGGGAAACAATTTTAAACATAGAAAAATTTCATGTACAAAATTATTCCCTACAGTATTAGTTAACAGTGATAAATTAGAAGCAACCTAAAAGTCCTCCTATTGCAAAGTAATGGTTATGTAAACCATAGCATGTCCACTTAATTAAATGTCATATAGCCATCAAAATCCTCAAAACAGTAAAGGGAGGTTCATATGACAGGATATATAAATGTTACTTTGCAGCTCGGTTTTTAAAAAGGATAGAAAACCAGCTAAATGGAAAGACACCAAAATGTAAAACATAATTGTGATTGGATAATGGCTGTTTATTTCCTTCTTCCTTTCTGTATTTTCCAATTTTAAAAATACAGACAGGTATTACTTTATTATAAACTGTATTTTAAAAAATGTTAGAAGATAGAAACAAATTGAACAAAACTGCAGGATACAAAATCAAAACACAAAAATCAGTTGGGTTTCTAAACACCAACAATGCACAATTTGAAAAGGAAATTAAGAAAACAATTCCATTTGCATAGCATCAGGAAGATGCAAACACTTAGGAATAAGGTAAACCAAGGAAGCAAAAGACACACTGAAAACTACAAAATGTATTTTAAAGAAATTAAAGAAGACACCAATAAACGGGAAGACATCCTGTGTTCATGGATTGGATAACTTAATATTGTTAAGGTGTCAATACCACCGAAAGTGATACACAAATTCAATGAAATCCCTGTCCCAACCTCAATGACTATTTTTATAGATTTTTTTTAGATACTAAAATTCATAGGCAATCCCAAGGGACCCCAAATAGCCAAAACAATCTTGTAAAAATAACAACGTGGGAGATCCCATATTTCCTGATTTCAAAACTTACTGTACAGTAACCAAAACAGTGTCATGCAAGCATAAAGACAGACATGTAGAACAATGAAATAGAATAGAGAGCCAAAAATAAACCATTGCTTATACAGTCTAATGATTTTTGACAAAAGTGTCAAGACCATTCAAAGGGGAATGGGCAGTCTTTTCAACAATGGTGTTGGAAAAGCTGGATATCCACATGAAAAATAATGAAGTTGGACTCTTATCTTATACCATAAACAAAAATTAACTAAGAATAAATCAAAGACCTAAATATAAATCTTGGAAGAAACTTAAACTCTTAGAAGAAAACATAGGAGGAATACTTCATGACATTGGATTTGGCAACGATTTCTTATACATGACACCAACAACACAGGTAGCAAAAGAAAAAGATAGACTACATCAAAATTTAAAACTTCTGGGTATCAAAGAACAAAATCAACAGAGTGAAATAGGAACACATAAAACAGAAGAAAATATTTGCAAATCATATATCTGATAAAGGATTAATAGCCAGAATATATATAGAAATCCTACAACTCACCAATGACAACAACAACAAAAAAATCAGATTTAAAAAATAGGCCAAGGCCAGGCGTGGTGGCTCACACCTGTAATCCCAGCACTTTGGGAGGCCAAGGGAGTGGATCACCTGAGGTCAGGAGTTCAAGACAA
Organism: Homo sapiens; assembly: GCF_000001405.40. Classification (NCBI taxonomy): domain Eukaryota; kingdom Metazoa; phylum Chordata; class Mammalia; order Primates; family Hominidae; genus Homo; species Homo sapiens. Next base: position 175,981,712 of record NC_000005.10, read on the forward strand.
GCCTGGCCAACATGGGGAAACCCGTCTCTAAATAAATAAACAAATAAACAATCAGCCAGGTGTGGTGGCGGGCACCTGTAATCCCAGCTACTCAGGAGGCTGAGGCAGGAGAATCACTTGAACCCAGGAGGTAGAGGTTGCAGTGAGCCAAGATGGCGCCATTTTACTCCAGCTGGGCAACAGAGTGGGACTCCATCTCAAAAAAAAAAAAAAAAAAAATAGGCCAGGCATGGTGGCTCACGCCTGTAATCCCGGCACTTTCGGAGGCTGAGGCGGGTGGATCACCTGAGATCAGGAGTTCAAGACCAGCCTGGCCAATGTGGTAAAACCCCATCTCTACTAAAAATTAAAAAAAAAAAAAAATTAGCCAGCCGTGGTGGCAGACGCCTGTAATTCCAGCTACTTGGGAGGCTGAGGCAGGAGAAATGCTTGAACCGAGGAGGCAGAGGTTGCAGTGAGCCAAGATCGTGCCATTGCACTCCAACTTGGGCAACAAGCAAAACTCCATCTCAAAATAAAAAAAAATAAAAAAATAGAACTTGGACATTCCTCCAAAAAGATATACAGATGCCCAGTAAACACATGAAAAGATGCTCAACATTACCAGTGATTATGAGAAAGCAAATCAAAACCATAATGAGGTACCACCTTACACCCATTAGGATAGCTATTATCAAAAAAGAAAAACAAAAGAAAAAAGCAAATGTTGGCAAGGATGTGGAGAAATTGGAGCCCTTGTGCCCCGTTGGTGGGAATGTGAAATGGGGCATTTGCTATGGCAAACAGCATGGCAGTCTCTCAAAAAATTCAAAATAGAATTATCATATGATCTACCAATTTCTTTCTTCTTCTTTTTGAGACAGTCTTGTTCTGTCACCCAGGCTGGACTGCAGAGGCGCCATCTTGGCTCACTGCAGCCTCCGCCTCCCGGGCTCAAGCAATTCTCCTGCCTCAGCCTCCTGAGTAACTGAGATTACCGGCGCCCACCACCACACTCAGCTAATTTTTGTATTTTTTAGTAGAGACGGGGTTTCATCATGTCGGCCAGGCTGGTCTTGAACTCCTAACCTCAAGTGATCCACCTGCCTCAGCCTCCCAAAGTGCTGGGATTACAGGCGTGAGCCACCATGCCCAGCCATTGATCTAGCAATTTCACTTAAGGAGATATACCCAAAAGAATTAAAAGCAGGGTCTCAAAAAGGTATTCATACACCCAAGTCCATAGCCAAAAGGTGGAAGCAACCCAAGAGTTCAAGAGATGAACAGATAAACCAAATGTGGCATAGACCTACAATGGAATATTCTTCAGCCTTAAGAAAATTCTGACACATGCTACAACATGAACCTCAAGGCTGTCACGCTAAGTGAACCTTGAAGACATTATGTTAAGTGAAATAAGGCAGTACCAAAAGGATGAATACTATATAGTTCTTCAAATTCATAGAGTCAGAAAGTAAAATGGTAGTTGCCAGGGCCTGCAGGTAAGGAGGAATAGATGAGTTATTGTTTAATGGGTACAAAGTTTTATTTTTTGCAAAATGAAAAGTTTGAGAGAGAATAGTGGCCATGGTTTCTCAACAGTGAGAATGTACTTAATGCCACTAAACTGTACACATAATAAAACAGCTAAAATGGTAAATAAGGAAAAATCAACTGTTTTTCCTCTTAATGCTTCATTTCTGTCAGCAGATATATAGGGGTGGGGGTTCCCCCCAACAATCAATTCTCCAACACGAACCAATTCTCTGATACCTACTATTCAATTTAATTCTGACACTAAAGAGTTAGCACAAACCCCAAGGGTTAAGGACACAGTCCCACAAGACTGCTCCACTTCAGATGCCAATCACAAGTCCCACATTGTCACCTGTACTTCTGACCAGCTGGCTATAAAATCTGGGCTTCCACAGTCCCATCCTCAGGTTCAATAATTTGCTAAGACAGCTCATAGAATTCAGAAAAACACTTACCCACATTTACGGGCTTATCTTATAATAAACGATGTGTGATAAAGGACACGAATAAATAGCCATATGAAGAGAGACATAGGGCAAGGTCTGGAAGGGTCCCGAGAACAAGAGTCTGTCCCCATGGAGTTGAGGTGCACCACCCTCCCAGCATGTGGATACATTCACCAACCTGGAAGCTCTCTGAACTCTTTTAATTCAGGGATTTTTATAGAGGCTTCGGATACCGAACCAGGCTTACTCTTCCCCCTTGTTCAGTAAGCCAATCACTGAAATGACAAGTTTTGCCATAGAGAAAACACTTTATTTGCAGGGCGGCCCAGCGAGGGGATGGGAGAACAGCTCTGGAATCTACCTCCCTGAATACAGGGCTCGAGGACATTCATGGGATAAAGAAGTGGGGTGGTCTAAGGCATGGGGAAAGGTGACTGGAGGTGGGAAAAATGAGGAAATCGGTGGTCTGCACAAGCATAGCCAGGGTTCTTGGCAGTTTAGAGGACACATATTCAGAAAATGGCAGTGTTAGCATGAGCTGAGGGAGGAATTTTTGGCCCTTTGACATCTCGCACACTTGTGCAGGCCCAGCCGAAGGGTCAGTGGTCTCAACTGGTTCAAACTGGACAAGAGCTTCCCCCTAGCTCCTGAGAAACAACTTTAAGCAGCCATTACCATAGTGACATGTATATTAGAAACGTTATCCGTAAGGAGCTAGTGGGAGTTTACTAAGATATTGTTTGGCTATGTGATTTTTAGCTATATAGGTTTTCAGGTCAACCAGAAGTCAGCGATGAAAAGCAAGGAAGGCAGGTTACATTTGGTGGGCTTAATCAGGCTAGCCCTCTATCTCACTTCATCACATAGGCATGATCCATTATTAACAGTCTCCAGTCCCTCCCTGCTTCCCAGAGAATGGGTGGTGGGGATGAAAATTTCAAGCTTCTAATCATCCCCTAATCTTTCTGGTGACCAACCTCTGTATAGGAGCCCATCAAGAGTCACCTCATTAAAACAAAAGACACCCCTATCACCCAGGAATGTTCAAGGGATTAAGAGCTCTGTCAGAGACTGATGCCAAAGACCAACTGTTACAACAAAAGATTCTCCTAGCACCTCTATTGCTCAGGAAATTACCAGGGTTTAAGGAGCTCTGTGCCAGGAACTGGGGACAAAGTCTAAAATATATATTTCTTATTATAAATCACAGTATCACAGGTGGTAAATTTTTGTTATGTATATTTTGCCACAAAATTTTTAAAACTTTCTTAAAAAAATACTTGCCATGGGGACCTCTCTCCCTTTTTGCCAATCTTAAAGTATCTTTAACAGAGGCCACATTGGTCACTAAAGCTTTCTTGTAAAAGTGGATGTTTTGGGGAGAACCTGAAAGCCGTGGCTGAACTCTATGTCTGCTTTACACAAGGCAAAAACAGAAGCCAGAGTTGAAAACAAAGCAGGATGAGAGTATAATTCCCCAGGAATTAACAAAAATTCCTGGAATAACTCCAGACTTTCAAAGCTATAGAATTAGTAGGATCAAAGCTGACAATTTTTAAGGGCTAAAGCTGAATCGAGCTCTGGTTATACGAATAAGTAGAGAATTGCACTAAAATATATATTATGTGCTGAAAGGTTGGAGTTAGAAAATAGCAAGGCTCAGAGAAGAGTGGAGGGGTGCAGATGGTCCATGATGGGTGGTGAGATCTGCTAGGCTGGAGGGTAAGAGAGGTGCTTTTAGGTGCAGGCTCTTTCTTCTTTGTGTCTCCTCCACGAACCTCAAAAGACCATAGTGACTGTTCCATAGCTATGTGATCCAAGTCAGGAACTCAGCTAATGAACATTCTCAGTGCCCAGGTGCCTGAGGCAGGTGTGTGGTTCAGATGATGGAGAAATCTCTCTTTCTTCTGAGAAACTCTAGTAGCCCATGAGTGAGTTCAAGCTTGACTTTATGGGACATTTTTCTACTTTCCAGCTCATTTGTCATGTGGGGATCCTCTGTGTTGGGAACCGATGCTTGGTATCACAAAAATCAACACTGAGACAAAGTATCTCTCAGCAAGGCTAGTTTACTTTCTGCAGAAAGGGTGCCACTCGCTAGCAGTCTCGCCATGAGAGCACACACGAACAAAGGAGACAGGGTCATTTATAACCTGAAGTGTCCACCCTTCTGCTGTGTCCAGTTTCCACTGGCTGGAACAGGACCTCACATTCTGTACTCTACCCGAATGGCTAGCAACTTAGAACTTCTCAAAAGAGGCAAACGCAGAGGAGAACAAAGGAAGAGAGGAAGTAACTTATGGAATGCTGAGAGAGGCAAAAACACTTCCAAATAAGGAAAAGGAGTAGGCTGTGACCTAATGCTTGCTTGGACTGGTTCAGGCATGCCAGGGCAAATATCTAGGCTAAAATGTAAGAGCTAAGAACAGAGTATATTGATTTCTTTATTACGGCTAACAGAATTTAAGAATATCAGCACAGGTCTCTGAGTAAATTTTGCTTCTAAGAGAGGTTACTATCTATTCTTAATTAGACTGGGAGGAAAGTCCCTTTGAAGAGGAACCTGTATTTATTTAATTTTCTACACTCTGTTTCTCCACTCCCTCCAGAGGAATCTGCTTCTATCAATATTGGGTAGGTGATCCCTAGACTTAGCCTCCAAAATGAACTGATTCTTGTTGTCTGTTCCTCTTCCCACTTTACTAAATCATTTACAGAGATGCCTCAAAGGGGAACACACAAGGTACAGCAGAACATCACCCTTCTAGGGGAACAGGATAGAATGAGGAGGAGTCAGAATGGCAACTAGAGCTTTGCTTCAAAGCCCACAGTCAAATCCAGAGGCTGTATAGAGAGAGGACTCTGTCTCAAAATCTCTGGTCTCTGAGATTCTGGATTGGATAATTAAGAAAGTTCAGGGTACTTGCAGCAGAACAGAATCCCACAATACTTGCTTCTCAGTTACCTTCCCATATGGAGTCTTGGTCTTTGGGCCAAGCCTTTGTGTCAGGGTTAATCTGGAAAGCAATTCTCATCCTGCAAAACTCTCTCAGCAGATTCCAAAAACTCACTCTGAACTTGGAGACCAGAATCCTACCTGCTGGAGCAAATTGCATCTCGAGTTTTGAGAATCAGCACCCTTATTAAGCAGAGAATGACTGAAAGATCATTGAGGATCACATATCAAAGGCACTTTATTTGAAATTTTCAAAGAATCAACAGAAAATATTTTTATCTACTTTAAATGAATGACAGAAAAGAACACAGAGACCCATGAATTCAATGAAAAAGACATATTATTCATGAATAATGAACGACTGCTGTAGCCCAGAGAAATGATGGTAAGAACTGATTCCCAGCCTTTCATTCTTGTCTTTTAGTGTCAACAGAGTAAAGAAAAGTGATGGCCTCACCTGGCCCTACACTGTCTCGTGACATCAAGCTCTCACCAAATGTGACCCACCCCTTGGATCCCTGATTCATTCACCTGGCACCCTCCACTTTTAAAGCATTCTATCCTACCACTGCCAGACTCCACCTTAAGTCCCAATCTGGTGTGATTTCCACATGACTGAACACCATTCCAGAGAGCTCATCTCTAGCTGGCACCCCTGGTTGGCCTCCTCTGTTCTAACATTCCTAAGCATGGACCACTCATACCTGCATGTTTCACATTTCCCTGAGGGCTGGCGTCTCGTACCTCCTCCACCAGGTTTTTGAGCAAGAGCTTCTTTCACTTCAACCCCCTCTGGGGAGAGTCTGTAAGCAGGCCTATGGGAACAAACAGCATCTTTGTCCTCACCCTTTACATCCAAGTACATCTGAAGATATCAGTTATAAAGAGAGTGGATTTCTAAACTTTGGAAATTGGAAATTTCCTTAGTCCAATAATCCTTTAGGGGCACTATGGGTCATCCTGGCTGTATCCCCGTCTCTTCAGATTGCCCACTAACCTAGATCAATGGGCCTACTAAAGCAGCTTTTGTTCTAATAACTGAGTTTTTGGTACATTTCTTATCTCCAAGCACCCACCTTGCAGACCAGTGGAAGTGACTAAGATGCTTCTCTCTCCTGAGTGTGAGACTTTGCCCCAGTTCCCTTTCTCATAATCCAAATCTTACAGGACTGGGATCTGTCTTGTCTCAGTCCTGATTTCTTTTCAAAACCCGGATTCTGTTTCTACTGGCCGGGCACGGTGGCTCACACCTGTAATCCCAGCACTTTGGGAGGCTGAGGCAGGTGGATCACCTGAGGTCAGGAGTTTGAGACCAGCCTGGCCAATACAATGAAACCCCATCTCTACTAAAAATACAAAAATTAGCCAGGCATGGTGGTTTGTTCCTGTAGTCCTGGTTACTTGGGAGGCTGAAGCAAGAGAATCGCATGAACCTGGGGAGGCAGAGGTTTCAGTGAGCCGAGATCTCACCACTGCGCGATCGCCAGCCTTGGCGACAGAGAGAGACTCTGTCTCAAAAACAAAAACAAAACTGGATTCTGTTTCTAAATGACAACTCTTTTTGTCAGTATTATTACTGTTTTTTTTGTTTGTTTGTTTTTTGTTTTTTTTTCACTAAACTGATTTTGCCACTACTGTGAGTTTTTGGACTTTCTAATGTCTTGTTTCTCCGGGCTGCTGGAGATTTGCCTATGGCTGAAAAGTTCTCCTATGAATGTTAATGTTATTTCATGTATCCAATGACCTGCTCTTCTAGTATTGCTTCTGGCAACCGTTTGAAGGAAAAAATGACCAAAAATCATTACCCAAACTTATTAATCTAGGGAGATGGAGGAAACCCAGCATAGAGCCAGGCTTTAGGGAAAATAAAGCCCTGGAATTTCTCCAAAAGAACATACACCACTTCCATCCACATCCCAGGCGCCCTCAGTATCCAGGCACAGGCCTCCATTCAAATGCAAGGTAGTCTGGGAAATGTAATCTTCCTCTGCTGGAAAAGGAAAATGGCACTGTATACTTACTCTACCACACTTACTTATCAGGTCATTCATTGAGAATAATGACGTTGCTTTACAGGTCAAAAAGAATAAGAAACTAGATAAGAAACTAGAAACAGAAGCAGTCATGTCTCAACTTCAGTACTGAACTTAGTCTCATCTTTTTTTGTTGTTGTTCCAAATATTATGAAAATCCCAGGTCGCAAAGAATAGCAGTACTTAAAAGGCTAGCAGTACTTAAAAGCTTGCTTTACAATGTCAGGATCCTCTTTAATCACACAGAGATAGGAGGAGAAACTTTAGTGTCAAGCATCTACCCAGCCTAGTTAGAGGTATAGGAAACTGTGCTAGCCATCTCCAAAATGTTAATATTTAGCATGCAACGTATCTGAAGATTCACACTGCATTAATTATGGTGCTTACTTGAATGTTATTTCAAATATGAAATTCAAGTAAAATGTCTGTGGAGGCCTCTGCTTTGGAGATCCGTGCACCAAGTGACCTTTGAGCTTTACAGTCCATACCCCTAAGTGGACTCCTGTTGTATGTCCCTGGGGAAGATGTTTCCCTAATTAGGCATGAGTTAAAGATGGCTTATCTAATTCATAGGACTTTACCAGACCAAAAAAAAAAAAAAAAAAGATAGATTCTGTACTGAGCCAAAGACATATGTGACTAGGTTGACTGCCTACAATTTTAAAAGCTGCTGTTTCTATAGGTCAAACATAGCTGAGTATCTGTGATTTTTAGTATAATATAAGCTAATATATTAAAACCGATAACCCATAGCCCTTTCCTAGACATGTTTAGGAAGAAAACAGACATGTTTTGTTTTAAAACATTTACAAATTGAGCTACTTCACCTGCAGACAAACAAACTTCTATTCTCTTTTTAAAAAAATAGTTCCTGGAAAAAAATAGGAGAAAATCTTTGTGACCTTGGGTTTGGCAAAGATTTTACAGATATGATACCAAAAGCGTGATCCATAAAATTATGAAAATTTAACAAGCTGGAATTCATCAAAATTAATTACTTCTGCTCATCAAAACATATTGTTAAGAGAATGAATATGTAGACTGAATAAGTTCCAGGGTTCTATACCACTGTAGGATGACTATAGTTAATAATACATAGCTTTGAATAGCTAGAAGTATACTGAATGTTCCCAACACAAAGATATGATAAATGTTTAAGATGAGGGATATGCTAATTACCCTGATCTGATCATTATACATGATATGTATCGAAGCATCACTGTGTACTCTATGAATATATACAATTATTATTTGCCAAATATTATAACAAAAACGAGAATAAAAACATAATCCACAGACTGTTAGAAAATATTTGCAAACCACATATTTAACAGAGAAGATGTGTATAGAACATATAAAGAACTCTCAAAACTCAATAATAAAAGTGTTTAAAAAACCCACCGTAGATCAATATCCCTCATGAACAAAGATGTGAACATCCTTAAGAAAATACTAGCAGGGCCGGGCACGGTGGCTCATGCTTGAAATCCCAGCACTTTCGGAGGCCGAGGTGGGGGCGGATCACCTGAGGTCAGGAGTTCAAGACCAGTCTGGCCAAAATGGTGCAACCCCATCTCTACTAAAAATACAAAAAAAAAAAAAAAAAAAAACTTGGCCCGGCACAGTGGCGCATGCCTGTAATCCCAGCTACTCAGGAGGCTGAGGCAGGAGAATCACTTGAACCCAGGAGGCGGAGGTCGCAGTGAACCGAGATGGTGCCATTGCACTCCTAAGGCCTGGGCAACAAGAGTGAAACTCCATCTCAAAAAACAAAAAGAAAAGAAAAGAAAATACTAGCAAACTAAACCCAGCAATGTGTAAAAATGCAAGATCAAGTAGTTTATCCCTATAAGACTGGTTCAATATTTCAAAATTAATCAGTATAATCCACCATATAACAATCTAAAGAAAAAATATGATCAAATCAAGTGATACAGAAAAATCATTTGACAAAATTCATCATCATATATGGTACAAACTTTTGGCAAACTGTGAATAATTTATCCCCAACTGATAAAGGATACCTATCTAAAAAAAAAAAAAAAAAAAAAAAAGCTGTAGCTAACACTTTTTTTTTTCAAGACAGCATCTCACTCTATCATCCAGGCTGGAGTGCAGTGGCATGATCATGGCTCACTGCAGCCTCAACTTCCTGGGCTCCAGTAATCCTCCCACCTTAGCCCCCTTGAGTAGCTGGGACCACAGGCATGCACCACCACGCCTGGCCAATATTTTTGCATTTTTGATAGAGATGGGGTTTTGCCATGTTGCCCAGACTAGCATTCATTTTTATCTTTTTTTTTTTTTTTCTTTTTTTGAGACAGAGTGTTGCTCTGTTGCCCAGGCTGGAGTGCAGTGGTGTGATCTCTGCATACTGCAACCTCTACCTCCCGGGTTCAAGTGATTCTTGTGGTTCAGCCTCCCAGGTAGCTGGGATTACAGGCAAGTGCCACCATGCCCAGCTAATTTTTGTATTTTTTTTAATAGTAGAAATGGGGTTTCCCCATGTTGGCCAAGCTGGTCTCGAACTCCTGGCCTCAAGTGATCCACCTTCCTTGGCCTCCCAAAGTGCCAAAGTGCTAGGATTACAGGTGTGAGACACCACGCCAAGCCCAGATTAACATTCTTAAATGGTGAAAGACAAATGCTTTTCCCCTGAGACCAGGGAATAAGGTAAAGACATCTACTCCCACCACTACTATAAAACAAATTCCAATCAAAATCCTGGCAGAGTATTTTGTAGCAACAGACCAACCAACTCTAAAATTTGTACAGAGAGGAAAAGAAACTAGGTAGCTAAAATAATTGACATAGAAAGGCAAAGGACCTAGAATACCTAAAAGAATTTTTGAAGAGAGAAACAAACACGTACGAATTATACTACCTGATTTTAAGGCTTACTATAAAGTTACAGTAATCAAGATACTGTGGTATTAGTGAAAGGATAGAAAAATAGATTAATGGAATAGAATATGAAGATCAGAAATAAGTTCATAAAAACATGGCTATTTTTTGACAAAAAGTAAAAAAGCAATTCAGTACATTGCTTTTAATAACTGCTATTGAAACAATTAAACAAAAATGATCTTCAGTATAAATTTCACATCTTATAAAAAATTTAACTCAAAATGGATCATAGATCTAAGTATAAAACAAAATTATAGAATTTCAGAAAAAAATGAGAAAATATTTATGACATACAATTTAGTCATGACACCAAAGAACAAGGCATAAGAAACTGAGCATCATTAAAAGTTTTTTCTCAGCCTGACACACAGCTGAGATTCCTTAAAAATTTATTTATTTATTTATTTATTTATTTATTTATTTATTTATTTAGCGAAAGTCTCACCCTGTCACCCAGGCTGGAGTGCAGTGGCACAATCCCGGCTCACTGCAACCTCTACCTCCTGGGCTCAAGTCCTGGCTCACTGCAACCTCCACTTCCTGGGCTCAAGTGATTCTCCTGCCTCAGCCTCCTGAGTAGCTGGGATTACAGGTGTGCACTACCATGCCCAGCTAATTTTTGTATTTTTAGTAGAGAAGGGATTTCACAATATTGGCCAGGCTGGTCTTGAACTCCTGACCGCAAATGATCCGCCCAGCTAGGCCTCCCGAAGTGCTGGGATTACAGGAGGGAGCCGCTGCACCCAGCCTCATTAAAAATTTAAAAAGACATTGTTAAGTGAATGAAAAGACAAGATACAGACTAGGAGAAAATATATGGAAATTTTGTATCTGGCAAAGAACTTTTATGCAAAATATATCAAGAACTCTTGCAACTCAATAATTTTAAAATGGGTGCAATATTTGAATAGACATTTTACCAAAGAAGATATATAAATGGTTAGTAGGTACATGAAAAGATGCTCAACATCATTAGTTATTATGGAAATGCAAATTTAAAAAGACAATGAGATACCACTTCACACCCACAAGTATGGCTATAATCAAAAAGACAAACAATAACAAGTACTGGTGACTATGTGGAGAAATGGAAACCTCATATCTTGCTGGTGGGAATGGGAAATAGTAGTGAAATAGTATTGAGACGGGAATCTCACTTAGACCACTTAGATCCCACCATGGAGCCACCGAGCTCCCAAAAATGAGTCTCCCTTGATCTCACCCCATCCAATCTGCTGTCAGCTTCCCACCGGCCCAGAGATCTGCTACTGTAGGAAAATCAGAGGCATATGTCCAACTTAAAGCCTTCAGGCAAAACTAGGGGAAGACATTCCAAACTGTGCATCTTCAGCTCAGACCTCTTCCCCTCATTTCATCTATGCAACGGCCTACTCAGCAATCCAGTCTCTTAACATTCCAAACTGAAATCTGAATTCACACACACACACACACACACACACACACACACCTATTACCCCATCAGGTTGATGGCACCACCATCAACCTAGGTACTCAAGCCACAGTCCTGCAAACTGTCATTCTTCAGATGACTTTCCCTCAACCTTCCCATCCTCCAACAATTCCAACAGCAAACTGATAATTCTCCCTCTAAAATATATCAGCAATCATCCACTCCTCTCCATCCCACAGCCTCCATCATCACCATCACCTCTGGCCAGCGTGACTGCAGTAGACTCCTTATTGGTCTCCCTGCTTCCATTCTTGCCCCCTTCAATCCTTCTCTCCAGACACAGCAGCCCCAGTAAGTTTATTAAAACACACATAAGATCACATCACACCCCTTCTTAAAGCCTTTCATTAGCTTCCCATCTCATTTAGAATGAAATGAAAAGCCCACACCTTGGTTTACTAGCCCAAACTTGACAGAGCTGCATACGGCCTCTCTGAGCTCACCCCCTTCCACTCCTCCCACTCCACTCAAGCCACACTGGACTCCTTGCTGCCACTTGCACTCTCACGCTGTGGCATGCTGTGCTTTCCAAACACAGTCATGTCACCTCCCATCCCTTATGTTCTTATATATTTTTTCTTAACAGTCTTGCTCTGTTGCCCAGGCTGGAGTGCAGTGGCACAATCATGGCTCACTACAGCCTCATCCTCTCAGGCTCAAGTAGTCCTCCCACCTCAACCTCCCACATAGCTGGGACCACAGGCGTGCACCACCACACCTGGCTAATTTTTTCATTTTTTGTAGAGATGAGGTCTCTCTATGTTGGCCAGGCTGGTGTCAAACTCCTGGACTCAAGTGATCCTCCCACCTCAGCCTCCCAAAGTTCTGGGATTACTACCATGCCCAGCTCTTATGTTCTTCTTAACAATGTGTCTTGGACATGTTTCCTATTGATGGGTGGGGGTCTCTGTTCCCACCCTATGAATCCTGAGAGACCTTGTGACTACAGTGGCAGTGATCGGAAAAGGTGATGCAGCTTCCACCCTGCTGCCTGGACACTCCTACTGTGGCCCAGAGCAGCTTGTGGATGATCCAGTGGCCTTGAGCAGTCACACTATGAAGAAGCCTTCACTACTCATGCAGACCAACCACACAGCGAGGCCCTGAGCTGACATGAAGAGGCAGACAGGCTCAGCCAGCTCCCCTCTGGCCTGCCCCTCCACTGTTCCAGGTGTAGCCACTGTCTGAATGAAAGCATAAGAGAAATCCACCCAGCCAAGCCCTTCCAAAATGCCTCACAGGGGAATCATAAGACCATACGTTGATTGTGGTTGTTATAAGCCCCTAAATTTCAGTATGATTTGCTACATAGCAATAGATAGCCAGACCATTTACCATGAGTGTGCTTTCTTCAGGATGCAGACCCAGATCTTATATAGGTTTTAATTTTAAAGAATATCCTCTTAACTAGGATCTGGTGGAGGGTGCCCCCGCATACAGGCTTTGGAGTCAGAAAGGCCTCAGCTTAAATTAGTGGCTCTTAACTCTTTGAGAATCACAGACCCCTTTGAGAATCTGTCCAAAGTTTTAGGACTTTTACTCTGAGAAACAGACAAAAGTGCAAATATAAAACATTTTTCAGATTACCTCAAGGAGTGCATGGACACGCTTTGGTACCTTTCTTGAGCTTCCTGGATGTATGTCTTTGGATGAGTCGTCTCATCTCTCTGAGCTGTCCGCACTTCCCCCTCCCTATTTGTAGCAAGCTGGGAAACAGACTCAGGAGGGCTGGGTCCCAGGCTGGCCTCTCCCTCATCCCAGCCTGTGTGACTCTCAGACACTTATTTCCCTTGAGCCTTAGTTGCCTGCTACCCCTCGACCCCCAGGAAAATGGGTTTATTGCTCATTTAATGGAGTAACTCAAATGAGATAGGGAAAGTCCTTAGGAAACTCAAAAGCCCTTAGGAGAAAAAAAAGCCTGCTGCAAGGTGTTTTACTTTTTCCATTTCAGCTACAAAAAGCCTTCTGCAGATTCATGCCTAAGGAGCTCAAGAATAACGTGGGTCAAATCCCATTACACCAAATCCTATGACAGTGCTCCTTTCCCCTGTAGAAGGCTGCTCTCACCTGTGGATCAAAGCTTCCCAAGGAGTCCTGGCTGACTTGCCTTTGTCCCCAGCCACCCTAGCACAGAGCGTGGCACTGCAGGAGCTCTGCTGCCAAAAACTCCTTTCACCTGCAGTCAAGAACTACATGTGAAGAACTGCAGTTGAGAACTGCACTGTTTGGTCCACATGTTTTTTTTTTTTTCAATTAGATGCCAACATTTAAAAATTGGGACAATGGGGCCAGGCGCGGTGGCTCACGCCTGTAATCCCAGCACTTTGGGAGGTCAAGGCAGATGGGTCACCTGAGGTCAGGAGCTCAAGACTAGCCTGGCCAACATGGCAAAACCCCATCTCTACTAAAAATACAAAAATTAGCCAAGCTTGGTCGTGCGCACCTGTGATTCCAGCTACTCTGGAGCCTGACGCAGGAGAATTGCTTGAACCCAGGAGGCGGAGGCTGCAGTGAGATGAGATCACATACTGCACTCCAGTCTGGGTGACACGCGAGACCCTGCTGAAAAAAAAAAAATTGGGACAGTTAACATACAAATACTAACAGAAACTCTAGCTTCCCACAGGAAGAGGAGTTACTATTGGAGTAGTCAAAACGATACCAGTTCACTCAATAGTATCTACTATGCAGAATGTATATAGGAACCTAATACTGTATTTGGCACAGTCTTAAATATTGTATTCTCTTCTCTCATCCCTCTCCAAATCTGCTAAGCTGAGGTCAAGGCCCTCCCATGAATTCTGTCTAAACAGACTCCAGCCCCCTATGAACATCTTGCGTTGAAAGAAGGAAGCTCATGACTGTAATCCCAGCCCTTTTGGAGGCAGAGGTGGGCAGATCACCTGACCAGCTGGGCAACATGGTGAAACTCCACCTCTACAAAAAATGCAAAAAGTTAGCTGGGCATGGTTGGTGCACGCCTGTAATCCCAGCTACTCAGGAGGCTGAGGTGGGAGGATGGCGTCAGCCCAGGAGACTGCACTGAGCCAAGACTGCACCTCTGCACTCCAGCATGGGCCAAAGAGCAAGACCCTGTCTCAAAACAACAATAACAACAACAAAGCAGGCTGGTGGCTGACATCTGTAATCCTAGCACTTCGGGAGGCTGAGGCAGGAGGATCGCTTGAGTTGGAGAGGTTGAGGCTGCAGTGAGCTATAAGCTATGATTGTGCCACTACACTCCAGCCTAGGTGACAGACTGAGCCCGTCTCAAAACAAACAAACAAACAACAACAACAAAAAAAACCCACCACACACACAAGACAAAGCACAGGGTGCTTCAGTAAGCCATCCCCATGGCCCTGAGCCTCAAATTCTGCACCTGTGAAATGGAATTAATAGTACCTACCTTATGTGAGAATGAAACAGGCTGATGCATGTGAAATGGGTTCTGAGCATACAGTAGGCACTTAATAAATGGCACTATTCTGTGCCATTCCACACTTTAAAAAACTCAGTCTGAAAATAATCTCACTATAAAAGAAATTCTCCAAGAACCTTTCAAAGCCTCCCCCATGGCCAGGAAAAGACCACATCCCCTTCTTTCCAGGAAACACCTGTGCCTCAGGTATCAGCCACCAGTGCCCCCACCTGCCACTCTGCACACCACGTTAGCCCCCTCCACCTTGTTTCTCAGAGATCTGAGGATCTGCACATTCACCTCCCACCACCTCCCTCCCCACCCACCAGTCATCTGTGCTGCCCACCCTGGCAAGCTGTCTCCCTAACACCTCACCTACTCACGGCTTCATGAATTTATTTCCCCACCTTTTTCACCCAGAAGTGGGAGAAGCAGGGATAATCACAAACCAGGAGATGGGTGGAGAGCGGTGGAGAGCTGGTGTAGCCCCACCTCAGTGTGCTCTGCCCACAGCTTCCACCAGGCTACCCTCTAACCTTCTGGTGCTCCTCCCTCCCCTCACCCCGTCCTCTCTACCACTGGGTGCCAGTAACTCCCCACTATCCCTGAGATTTCAGGGGTTTCAGACTCCCAACTCCACAGCTCTGGCAAGAAGCCTGATTCTCTGGCAGATGCATTAGATAAGAAGACACACTCTCTGACCAGGCGCGGTGGTTCACGCCTATAATCCCAGCACTTTGGGAGGCCAAGGTGGGTGGATCACTTGAGGTCAGGAGTTCAAGACCAGCCTGGCCAACATGGCAAAAACCCAGCTCTACCAAATATACAAAAAATTAGCTGGGCGTGGTGGCACGCGCCTGTGATCCCAGCTACTTAGGAGGCTGACGCATGAGAATCATTTGAACCTAGGAGGCAGTGAGCCAAGATGGCACCACTGCATTCCAGCCTGGGCAACAATGTGAGACCCCCATTTCAAAAAAAAAAAAAATTGCCTTATCTTCTGAATAAGGCGCAGTCAGAAGACCAATCACAGAGATCCCTGATTCTCCCCAGGTGCCCCAGCTCAGTGACGCTGTCACCCTGGAAATATCACTCTCAAAGCCCACCAAAAAATAAAATAAAATAAAAATTAAAAATGAAAACAGTAATACCAACCCTTACACCATATGGCTCTGTTTTCCCTGCTGGGAACTACAGCAGGTCACACAGTCTGTACAATCTGTACAGCCGGGAACTACCAAGGTCACACAGTCTGTACAGGCGGAGCCAGGATCAAGCCCATATCCCCACTACAATGGCGGTCTGTGTGACCTGGGAAAAGTCTCTTAACCTCTCTGAGGCTCTGTCCCCTTATCTGTAAAATGGGGATATAGCATCCACCTTGCAGGCTTGCTTTGAAAAGCAGAGGAGTGACAGAACAATGGGAACACACTTTGTCAAGCTGTTGGTTGTTGTTACAGAGGAAGGGTTTCTTCTAATGTGGGGTTTGAAAGAAAAATATTAAAAGTCAGTGGACACTTCTGCTTCTAGCAGATGGAGTAAAAGGAAACGGATTTACCCTCCCACTTGGCACAACCAAAATCCTGAAAAAATACAGGAAACAACAGCTCTCAGGCCAGTGGGCACGAGGCAATAAAAGCTAATGATCCCTGTGGCAGCCCTGTGACTGCCCGGCACACCACCTCAAGCAAGTGCCTAGGCATAGGGAGAGGAAACGAGGAGGAGGGCAGGCTCCCTGAACTGAGGAGGCCAAGGCAGTGGGTGTTCACAAGACAGAGTAACAGGCAACAGAAAGCAGGAAAGGAGAAAACTCCAGACTTCTGTGGAGGGTCTGTTTGAGTACTGATCAGTGCAAGCGTTGTCAGGAAACTACCAGAGATCAGAGAAGGAATGATCGGAAAGGACTAGTGAGAACAGCACCTGGGTTCACAGAGGGCTGAGAAGGGCACCTGTTTCTAACAGCCGGACTAGAAACCTAATAATTCAGGGACACTGGTGGTAGAAGCAAAAAGCTCTTGCCTCAGTGATAGGGAATAATTAGCCCTAGGAAAAAAAATGTTGCTCTGTTCTGACCTAACAAATCTTGACAGCCAGACCTGAAAGGATCAAGCTTCTTCTAAGCAGCTTAACTACATCCCAGAACAAAGCTAAAGAATATTTATAGGAGTAATAAAATACCCAGCAACACAAGGTAAAATCCACAGTATCTAGCATCCGGTTGAACTAACAGCACACAAAACGACAAGAAAAGACCCACAATGAGGGGGAAATCAGTCACCTTAAACTGATCCAGAAATGGCACAGATGTTAGAATTAGCAGACAAGAACATCAAAAACAGTTACTATAACTGTAGTCCATATGTTCAAAAAGTTAAGAAGAGACAGAGATAATATTTTTATTTTTTCTTTTTTTCAGCTCTAACTCCAATGGATGATATTTTTTAAAGACCCAAATCATACTTCTAAAGATGAAAAATATAATCACTAAGGTGAAAAAACAGTGGATGAGATGAATGGCAAATTAGACATTGCAGAAGGAAAGATCAGTGAACTTGAAGACAGCGATATATATTATCCAAAATAAAACAGAGAACAAAATAATTTTCAAAAACAGTTATCAGTGAGCTGTGTGACAGCATCAGACAGCCTAATATATGTGCAAATGGAAAGAGGGAGCAAGGGGTACAGAAAAATAGTAATTGTTCAGATTTTTATGAAACATACAAATTCAGCTGGGCGCGGTGGCACATGCCTGTAATCCCAGCACTTTGGGAGGCCAAGGCGGGCGGATCATGAGGTCAGGAGTTCAAGACCAGCCTGGCCAACATAGTGAAACCCCATCTCTACTAGAAATACAAAAATTAGCCAGGCATGGTGGCACGCGCCTGTAGTCCCAGCTACTCAGGAGGCTGAGGCAGGAGAATCACTTGAACCCGGGAGGTGGAGGTTGTGGTGAGCCAAGATCGCACCACTGCACTCCAGCCTGGGCCAGAGCAAGACTCCATCTCAAAAAAAAAGAAAAATAGAAACTTACAAATTCACAGATATAGGAAGATCAAGAAACCCAAGCACAAGTAATGAAGTTTCCTTACTAAAAGAAGCCACCTAATAATAAGAGAGTGCAAAATCAGTGAGAAAACACAAGTAACCAGAGAGAAAAAAGGCACTGCATATAAAGAAACAAGGACACGGATGACAACAGATTGGTCATCAGAAACCATGCAAGTGATATACAGGAGAGCAATAGCTTTAAAGTACTGAAAGAAAAAGAAACTGTCAGTGTACAATTCTAAATCCAGTATAAAACAAATCCAAAGTGAAACAGACTGTCAGAAAAAGAAATGCTGAAAGAATTTACTACCAGCAGACCCGCACTAAAAGAAATGTTAAAGGAAGTCTTTCAGGTAGAAGAAAAATGACCCTATATGAAAATGCACATCTATACAAAGGAATGAAGAACACCAGAATCGATAACTGCACAGATGAATATATGACTGTTTTCTTATTTAAAAATCTGTAAAAGAGGCTGGGCGCGGTGGCTCATGCCTATAATCCCAGCACTTTGGGAGGCCAAGGCAGGTGGATCACCTGAGGTCAGGAGATTGAGACCAGCCTGGCCAACATAGTGAAACCCCGTCTCTACTGAAAAAAAAAAAAAAATTAGCTGGGCGTGGTGGCATGTCTGTAATCCCAGCTACTCAGGAGGCTGAGACAGGAGAGTCACTTGAATCTGGGAGGCGGAGGTTGCAGTGAGCCAAGATCACACCATTGCACTCTAGCTTGGGTGACAAGAGTGAAACTCTACGTCAAAAAAAAATAATAATAATAACTGCAAAAGACAGATGAATGTAAACAAAAATAATAATAATGCCATATAGTGTTTGTAACATGAATAAGATGATACAGCTTAAAGTCTGAGAGAGAAGAAATAGAAATATAACACAGTAAGGTTCTTATACAGGAGATGGTATAACATCACTTGCAGATAGACCGATAAGCTGAAGAAGTATATAATAAACCCTAAGGCAACCACTAAAAGAACAAGAGAAATAGTTATAGCTAATAAGTCAACAAAGGAGATCAAATGAAAACATTAAAAATATTCAATTAATCCAAAGGAAGTTAGACCAAGAGAAAACATAGAACAACTAACAGATGGAGCCAATAGACAACACGTTGCAGGGTTTGTAGACTCAATCCTAACTATATGAATAATCACATCAAATGTAAATAGTCTGAATATCCTAATTAAAAAACAGAGATTGGGCTGGGCTTAGTGGCTCACGCCTGTAATCCCAGCACTTTGGGAGGCAGAGGAGGGCGGATCACCTGAGGTCAGGAGTTCGAGACCAGCCTGGCCAACATGATGAAACCCCATCTCTACTAAAAAAAATACAAAAATTAGCTGGGCGTGGTGGTGGGTGCCTGCAATCTCAGCTACTCAGGAGGCTGAGGCAACAGAATTGCTTGAACCAGGGAGGCAGCGGTTGCAGTGAGCCAAGATCGCACCATTGCACTCCAGCCTGGACAACAGAATGAGACTCCATCTCAAAATAAATAAACAAAAGCAGAGATTGATTTTAAGATTTGATTTAAAAAAGTAAGACCCAATTTTATATTCCCTACAATAAATGCACTTCAAATATACCTATCAAAATCAAACAGTGGAAAAAGATATACCATGCTAACACTCATCAAAAAGAGTGGCTATTGTAATATCAGACAATGTAAACTTTAGAGCAAGAAATATTACCAGGGATAAATAAGGTCATCTGATGATGATAAAGGGGTCAATTAATCAAGAGAATGTAACAATCCCACATATTTACACATCTGTGAAAGTTGATCATACAAATTGGGTTATTCTTGTCATACCCAACTAAAACAGAGTCAAGAGGCCAGAGAAATAAAAGCAATCAGGGCACATAACATTGCTCCAAGAATGAATTCTCTGCAAGCCTAGCTGTTGTAAACTGAAGCCAGTTTATCTAATTAGCTGTTAAAATAACCTGGTACAACTCTAAAACTAGTTTGACCCACCGCCATCACTCACCAATCAGAACTTGCCAGCTCCCCGGAACCTTACCAGTGACAATGTACTTTCTTGCAAAACAATATGTAACATTTCTCTTTTTCATAACACCTCTAACCTTCTCTTTGTTCTTCAGACATACCAAAACCCACCTGGTCTGTGTGTATGCCCCAACTGCAATTCTTGCTTCCAAAATAAAACATTTTAAATTTAGAGATTCATCTCTTTATTTTATCTGACTTCAACACATCTAATAACAGAGCTTCAAAATATATGAAGAAAAATCTAATAGAACAGCACAGAGGAATAGACACGTTTATAATTATAACAAGATTTCAATCTCCCTCTCCCAATCTTCCAGAGATTTCATTGTCTTCCAGATAATGAGTAGGATATAGTATACTTGAACAGCATTATCAAACAACTTAACCTGACATTTATAGAATACTCCACCCCAACACAACAGAATACACATTCTTTCCAACTGCGTAAGAAACTTTTACCAAAATATCCATGAGTATGAACTCATGGATATTTACTGTATACTCTGGGTTATAATCCAATACTACTCTCTTTATTCTGCTGCTCCAGTTGTTCCAGCTTTGACCATTGGGAGCTCTTTCAGTTGGCTCCTGTCATGTAACCCCATCAAATACGGTTTTCCTTATTCAGTACTTCCTTACTTTCTGGTGCTACAAGATGTTCCAGGCTCATCTTGTGTATTTCCTGCCTCAGTCCTAAAATCAGCCACTTCAAGGAGCTCTAGATTGTTTTACTGAAGAATGGTTTTAAAAACCAAGATCTGGGTACTAGGTATGCTAACTGCTATTGAAGCAAACAATTTTGAGAAAGGTGCAAAGGTAATTCAGTGGAGAAAGCGATCTTTTCAACAAATTGTGCTAAAACAACTGGATATCCATATGCAAAAAAAAATGAGGCTGGGTACAATATCTCATGTCTGTAATCCCAGCACTTTAGGAGGCCCAGGTTGAAGGACTGCTTGAGCCCAAGAGTGCGAGACCAGCCTGGGCAACATAGTAAGACTCCATCTTAAAAAAAAATTTTTTTTTACTAGTTAGCCAGACTGGAGTGCAGTGGCACAATCTCGGCTCACTGCAACCTCCATCTCCCAGGTTCCAGCAGTTCTTGTGCCTCAGCCTTCCAAGTAGCTGGAGTTACAGGTGCCCGCCACCATGCCTAGCTAATTTTTGTATGCTGAGCCAATTTCCATCAGGTCATCTTTTAGCTGCTCTGAACTTCATGTTTATTGTGTTGCTGGTCAAAAATTACTGGTTTGGGCTCCTTGAATAAATGGCTGATTCTAGGCCTGAGGCAGGGAAAGCGTAAGATGAGCCTGGGGCATCTCGTAGTGTAAGAAAGTAAGAAAGCACTAAAAAAACCAACAGGCCAGGTGCAGTGGCTCATGCCTGTAATCCCAGCACTCTGGGAGGCCGAGGCGGGCAGATCACCTGAGGTCAGGAGTTCAAGACCAGCGTGGCCAACATGGCGAAACCCCATCTCTACTAAAAATACAAAAATTAGCTGGGTGTGGTGATGGGTGCCTGTAATCCCAGTTACTTGAGAGGCTGAGGCAGGAGAATCACTTGAACCTGGGAGGCGGAGGTTGCAGTGAGCCAAGATTGCACCACTGCACTCCAGCCTGGGAGACAGAGTAAGACTCTGTCTCAAAGAAAAAAAAGAAAAAAACCAACAATGAAGAAACAGAAACCAGAACAGAGGATGGGTACATGTCAAAGAGATACAGCAGCCAATGTAAAAAAGCTACTAATGGTCAAAACTGGAACAATTCAAGCAATAAACAGAGTAGTATGAGGGGCTTTAAAAAGTTCATGGAAAAAACGCAATTGAAAGATAAAAATTAGGGCTGGGCACAGTGGCTCACGCCTGTAATCCCAACACTTTGGGAGGCAGAGGTGGGCAGAATACCTGAGGTCAAGAGCTCGAGACCAGCCTGATCAACATGGAGAAACCCCCTCTGTACTAAAAATACAGAATTAGCCAGGCGTGGTGGCACGTGCCTGTAATCCCAGCTACTTGAGAGGCTGAGGCAGGAGAGTGGCTTAAACCCAGGAGGCAGAGGTTGCAGTGAGCCAAGACTGCACCATTGCACTCCAGCCTGGACAACAAGAGCAAAACTCCGTCTCAAAAAAAAAAAAAAGTAAGAAAGGTAAAAATTAAAAATACAAACTTTATTTCTTAACAGACGCTCCATCAAGTTCAAGACACTTTTATAAGTGATGATGCCAGCCATTTAGTGTCCATCCCTAAAGAACTGAGGGTCCTGGGAATTCAACTGTGATAACGTAGCATTTTTTACATTATTAATGGAAGAAAAAATGGGTGCCCTTTAAAGATTTTTGTAAGATTAGAAAACAAAAAAAATAGAAGGAGCCAAATGAGAACTGTAAGGTGAATGCCTAATGATTTCCAATAGAAACATTTGCAAGGCCAGGTGCAGTGGCTCATGCCTGTGATCCCAGCACTGTGGGAGGCTGAGGTGGATGGATGACCTGAGGTCGGGAGTTCAAGACTAGCCTGACTAACATGGAGAAACCCTGACTCTACCACAAATACAAAATTAGCCGAGCATGGTGGCACATGTCTGTAATCCCAGCTACTCAGGAGGCTGAGGCAGAAGAATTACTTGAACCTGGGAGTCGGAGGTTGTGGTGAGCCAAGAGTGCGCCATTGCACAAGAGCGAAACTTGCAAAATTGCCCTTGTTTGATGAGAGGAATGAGCAGGAGCATTGTCGTGGTGGAGAAGGACTCTATGGTTAAGCTTTCCTGGGCTAAAGCTTTTTTTTTTTTTTTTTTTTTTTAGCTTTCTGCTAAAGCTTTGGCCAACTTTCTGAAAACACTCTCATAATAAGCACGTTATTGTTCATTGGCCCTCCAGAAAGTCAACAAGCAAAATGCCTTGAGTATCTCCAAAAACCAGTTGCCATGATCTTTGCTCTTGACTGGTCTGCTTTTGCTGTGACTAGACCCCTTCCGCCGCTTGGTGGCCATTGCTTTGATTGTGCTTTGTCTTCAGGATTGTACTGGTGAAGCCATGTTCCATCTCCGGTTACATGTCTTCGAAGAAATGCTTCAGGATCTTCATCCCACTTGTCTAAAATTTCCATGGAAATCTCTGCTCTTGTCTGCAGCTGATCAGGGTGCAATGGTTTTGGCACTCATCGAGTAGAAAGTTTTCTTAACTTTTTCAGTCAGAATTGTGTAAGCTGAAACAGTTGAGATATCTATGGTGCTGGCTATTGCTTTTGCTGTTAATTGCCAGTCCTCTTCTATTAAGGCAAGACCAAGATGAATTTTTTTCTTGCAAATTGATGCAGATAGTCTGCCACTGCAAGCTTCATTTTAAACATCATCTCATCTCCTCCCTTCTTAAAACAATGTATCCATTTGTAAACTGCTAATTTCTTTGGGGCATTGTCCTCATAAACGTTTCAAAAAGCATCAATGATTTCACCACTCTTCCACCCAAGCTTCAATTTGATGTTTCTGTTCCACTAATTTAATGTTTGTCCCTGTTTCAAATTTAGCAGAATTTATGTTTTTCTGATAGGGGCTCTTTTCAAACTGATGTCTTATCCTTCCTAGTGCCTCAAACTAGATTCTGTTCAGACATGTTATAACATGTTAGTATGAGTTTATTTTGATGCGAAAAAATGCTTGAGATCCGTGTATAGTTTTTCTCATAATATTAACACATACTTTCCATGAACTTTTTGAAGACCTTCACATCGGATTATAACCCAAAGTATGAAATAAATATAAGCGAGTCCATACTGATGAAAACAGATGATTAAATAAATCAGTGTGGGAGAAGAAACAAATTTTCCTTACAGAAGAATTCCAAGTAATGTCTGTGAACACTTTTCCCACCCCCAAACCCACCCACCAGAAGCTGAAGCTTAATCCTCTCCTCCCACTTGAGGATGGGCTGGACTTAGTGACTTGCTTCCAACGAACAAAGTATAGAATATGGGAAAAAACAAACTTTATGGTGGAAAAGCCTGGGAAACATTACCCTAAACAAGTGAGGAAGGTTAACATTATCAGTGATAAGTCATGCTGATAATCACGTACCTCTGGTATGATAAAAATATTTCACCTCTCTGGGGTTCTTCCCCCAAAACCATAATGGTAGTTAATGGAGTCAAGGACGTGCTATCCCCAAATATGCTTAATCGGCATATTGATTATTTTGAATGAAAAACATTGGAGAAATTGTAGCTTCAGAAAGGGTTAGCTGACCTGTCTCTCCCTGCATGCAGCCAGCCATAAAGATTCCTCCCAGTGACATGGCAAGAAAATAGTCCCTTATCACCAGAGACTGAAAATTAGGGCTGCAATGAACCTGAAAAATAAACTTCCTGAAACAACCCTTACTTTCTTATTTATTTATTTATTTATTTATTTATTTATTTATTTATTTATTTATTTTAGACGGAGTCTCGCTCTGTCAGCAGGCTGGAGTGCAGTGGTGAGATCTCGGCTCACTGCAACCTCCCCCTCTGATTCTGCAATCTGATTCTGAACATAAAGCAAGCCCAGACTCTGCTAAGTGATTTTCCCCTGTGGTCTGTGTAGCCTGCTACCTCCCTGAGCTGTAGTGGGATGTCCAGGGGGTAAAGAGAATGAGACAGGAGTTGGCGAGTTCCTCTTGCTCAGCATCACCAGTGACTCAGAGAAGCAGCAGGCCCTCTTCTGGCTCTTCCTGTGTATGCACTTAGTCACTGAGGCTGGAAACACACCCATCATCCTGGGCATCGGCTCCAACCCTCGCCTGCACACCCCCACGTACTTCTTCACCCATCTCTCCTTTGTCAACATCTGCTTCATCACCAACCTGATCCCCAAGCTCCTGGTCAACCATGTGGCAGGAACAGGGATGATCTCTTTTTTTTTTTGAGACTGTCTTGCTCTGTCACCCAGGCTGGAGTGCAGTGGCCCGATCTCAGCTCACTGCAAGCTCCGCCTCCCGGGTTCACGCCATTCTCCTGCCACAGCCTCCCGAGTAGCTGGGACTACAGGTGCCTGCCACCGTGCCTGGCTAACTTTTTTTTTTTTTTTTTGTATTTTTAGTAGAGACAGGGTTTCACCATGTTAGCCAGGATGGTCTCCATCTCCTGACCTCATGATCTGCCCGCCTCGGCCTCCCAAAGTGCTGGGATTACAGGTGTGAGCCACCTCGCCCGGCCTATGGACGATCTCTTCTCCCCAGTGCCTGACTCAGATGTACTTCCTCATCTCCTTTGCCAACGTGGACACCTTTCTGCTGGCCATCATGGCACTGGACCACTATGTGGCCATCTGCAGCGCCCTGCGGTACTGCTCCATCATCACCCCCGGCTCTGTCAGGGGCTGGCCGTGCTAGCGTGAGCAGGCTCCAGCCTCATCTCCCTGGTCCACACGGTCATCATGAGCAGACTGGCCTTCTGCTCCTCCGCCCAGATTTCACACTTCTACTGTGACGCCTACCTGCTCATGAAGATTGCCTGCTCACATACATGTCAATCAGCATGTGTTCCTGGGGGCCGTGGTCCTGTTCCTGGCTCCCTGTGCGCTCATCTTGGTCTCCTACATCCGCATTGCTGCAGCCATCCTCCGGATTCCCTCTCCTACAAGAAGGCGCAAGGCATGTTCCATATGTAGCTCCCACCTGTCTCTGGTCACCCTGTTCTATGGAACTGTCCTGGGGATCTGCATATGACCCCCAGACTCCTTCTCAGCCCAGGACACCATAGCAACCATCATGTACACTGTGGTGACCTCTATGCTAAACCCCTTCATCTACAGTCTGATGAACAAGGAGGTCCAGGAGGCCGTGAGAAGGCTCTTCAGTAGGGGCTCACACTCATCATGGTGCTGGTGAGTGCTGGGCCGATGTCTGGGGAGGTTCAAGATGGGAGGAAACAGAACCCGACTCTGGACGTCACCTCAACACCACTTCCTTCCACACACCAATTTAGACTATTTTTAGAGAAGGGAAAAAAAAACTGAAAGTGGGAGAAGAATTAGAAGAGAATTTTACTATTATTAGAAGAGATATGCCTATCTCTGGGAATCTAAATCAGCTGCAGGTAACAGAAAATCCCAATTACATCTATTTAAACAAGACGGGTTTATTTTTGTCTTCCATAATGACAATTCCAGAATGGGAAGTCCAACGCCAGAAACGTGGCTCCTTCTAGATCCCTCCTCCCCCAGCCATAGAGTGAGGCTTTCATCCCTGTGTTTCCAAAATGGCTGCTGGGGATCCCACCATCTTGTCCTGTCTCAGTGGAAGGATGAGGAGAGGAAGGGCAAAAGAAGTTTATCACTTTCCAGGGATTTCCCAGAATCACCACTCAGCATCTTCTTTTCACATCTCAATGGCCACCTGCCTGCCACGCAGGCTGGGAAAGGTTGTTGTCATATGTTGCTGTTGTTTGTTCACTTGTTTGTTAGGGTTAGATACATCACCATTTCCAATAAAATATAGATTATCTTAGAAAGGATGAGAAGGAAGTGGATAATGGACAAACAAAGGGAAGAAATGCAATACCTGACTTATTTTGCCACATTCACAGATGTGAGGTCATATTGTTATTTTAGGAGTTTTGCACATGGATTCCCTCTGGACTGATTGTGTATTAGGAGACAAACCAGACGGGTTTCCACACTCCTGAGGCTACAGAATCTGAAGACAAATCCCACAGTTCTCCCAAACATCAGAGTGAGGTTCCTTCTGGTGGAGACAAGCAGTGTGAGAAAAAGTGATGGGCAGATTTAGTGGCATTAACTTTTTGTGAGACTATAATTTTTTTAAGGAGGAGTAGATTTTATTTGAGATTTGTTTTTCCTCTGTGGGAACCTCTGTGTTTTGTTTGTTTGTGACAGAGTTTCACTCTTGTTGCCCAGGCTGGAGTGCAGTGGCACAATCTTGGCTCACCGCAACCTCTGCCTCATGGGTTCAAGTGATTCTCCTGCCTCAGCCTCCCAAGTAGCTGGGATTACAGGTGCACGCCACCATGCCTGGCTAATTTTTGTGCTTTTAGTAGAGACCAGGTTTCACCATGTTGGCCAGGCTGGTTGCAAACTCCTGATCTCAGATAATCTGCCTGCCTTGGCCTCCCAAAGTGCTGGGATTATAGGCATGAGCCACCGCGCCCAGCCCCTCTGTGGGAACTTAATATGGGGGAAAATTTATACTGTTAAAATTTTGCACATTGTACTATTGATATAAACTGCTCTTAAAATAAAGCACCAAAATACCCCAAATGTAATAAAGGAGACAATGAAGCATATAGTAAAATAGCAAATATTTCACAAGGCTTTGTGGAACATATATTTCTAGGTCCAATATCAAGGGCTAAATCAATACAATTTGTAAAAAATCAGCTGCAAGAGACTTTTTAATTGCTATGCTTTCTTAGTCTGATGTTTTGACATTGAGGACCTCTATAATGGGAGAGGGACTGTGCCTCTGAGAGATAGGTAATTCCTAGAGATAGCAAACAACTCAACCAGGGTGGTGCCTTTGACATGCGAGCTCATCATTCCAGAACCCAGACCACTCCCAGCTCCTCACTCTGGGCCAACACTCCCGTTCCATAATCATCCCAGGTCCAGGTATCAGGCCACTAGGTACAGATCCTATGCCCAGAGCTCACTGAAATTACTCAAACCAGCCAATCCTAAACCTGTGTAGCCTGCCTCTCCCATTCCTAACTGCAGAAACCATAACAAAGGATCTTCCTCATGTTTTCTTCTTGCTTCCTCTACCTCCTGACCAACGCTAGTACTTCCTATGTGGCCCACCGTGGCATGCTGTGCCTCCTGTTTCTAGCAATCTGTGATATAAAAACTTCTTCCTTCAAGGCAGTCATTTCTGTGTCTGTGTGTCTTACCATACCTGATTAAAACAAACCCAGGGAACATGTTTATCCCGATGTGATTGTTTGTTTGTTTTTGTATTTTTGGTAGAGACAGAGTTTCACCATGTTAGCCAGGCTGGTCTCGAACTCCTGACTTCAAGTGATCTGCCCACCTCGGCCTCCCAAAGTGCTGGGATTACAGGCGTGAGCCACCTCACCCAGCCCTGATGTGATAGTTTTATAATTGAGAATATCCAGTATGCTTGGAGTGGTGAAGCAGGCACTTAAGGTGTGAATCAAAGGTTAATCAAACTGTGATTGATGGTGATACAAACAGGAGACAGGGAAATACTGGGTAGAAGAGGGTGGCTCCCTGGCAAAGGCCCCACCCTCCAGCCTGAAGACCTGCAGCCCTAAGTGAGGACAGGCATTTCTGTTTTCATGCCCAAAAAGTTGCCTTTTGGCCCTCCATGCCCCCCATCCTGTGCCCATATAAACCCAAGACCTTAGGGGGTACAGACAGAAGTGGCTGAATGTCAAGAGGAGCAGAGGAACAGACCAGCAAACACCAGCAGACCAGCAATGGTGGAATGACACAGCAGAGAAAGGGAGAAGAGGACGTCTAGACACTGAGGGGAGTTCAGCCGCGGATGGTCGGGCTGACTCTAGGGGAAGACCACCTTCTCACTCCATCCCCACGTCCAGCTCCCCATCCATCGCACTGAGAGCCACCTCCGCCACACAGTAAAACCGTGCACTCATCCTTTCAGCCCACGTGTGATCTGATTTTTCTGGTACACTGGGCAAGAACTCAGGCTGTCACACTGGCCCCCTGCCCTTGCAAAAAGGCGGAGGGTTTATTGAGCTGATTAACACAAGCCGTCTGCAGATGGCAAAGCTGAAAGAACACACTGTAACACATGTCCACGTGGGCTTCAGGAGTCGTAGACACCCCACCCTAGGCACCGCCATGGGGCCGGAGCCCAAAAGCACTCCCCACAGCCTCTGCATCTGCCCGTCTGCATGCTCCCCCTACGGGCTGGAGCAGCCATACTCCTGCTGCATGTCCTGCCAGGGGGATAAGGGACCTCACCACTTTCAATGGGAGAGTAAACTGGGACAAACTTTCTGAAAGAAAATGTAGCAATTTTTACCAAAGCCAAAAAAACCTGGCTCAACAAATCATATTTTAGGAGTTTATCATTAAAGAAACATAACAAGTTGTTACGATGTTCATTATACGATATTGATAATAATAAAAAGAAAAGATTTAGATGTCCATTGGTTTGGGAAGTGTTAAATAAATTATTATTTTGTTCTTAAAAATCATGACAATCTATACTTACTAACATGGAAAGATGTCAAAGATACACTCAGTTTTTTAAAAAAGCAAGTAAAAGGACAAAATAAACGACTCTGTACACATAATCATGCACAGAAAAATGTTAATAGTTATATATAAAATCTTAAGGATGAGTATCTCTTAGCGAAGGGTAATTTTCATATAAAGTTTGTGCATCCAAATATTTTAAGGGAGTGTTTTTTCTCTTATAATCAGAAAAAAAGCAGTTTCATTTATTTAAAAACTACAAAAATACTGAGGGTAGTACACAGAAGCCTGTCACTTACATGTTCCTTCCAGTTTGCCTGACTGAGGAGGAAGGCCCAGCGGTGATAGACGATGGAGCAGCACGTTGGTGGTAGGCTTGAGGAAGTAGTTCTACAGGGCAAGCCAGAATGGAGAGAGGGATATCATGCAAAAGGGCAGAGTAGGGAGCTCCAGGGTCAGCACCCCCACCAAAGCAATGACTGACCTTGAAAGAGCAAATGGAATCAATGATTTTGGAATCCTGGAACCTGATTGGACCCTTAGAACAACCAGTGGAGTGCTTCACGAAGGGGGAGGCTACTGCGCTTTGGTACGAGAGCAGCATGCATAATCAGCTACCACCCCTCCTCCCACCATTTCTCAGCCCCACTGGAGGGTCAGGCTGCTGCCAGATCAGAAAGCCAGGACCTTGTCTTGCAAATCTGGGGATTGTATAATACGTACTGGGTGATCTGAATAGTATTCTGAGGGACCAAAGCAGACATCAGCCTTGGTTTCATCCCACTTCGCTACAGTAGCTTCTCCAAACCCTTAAAGAGATAAAGCCCCTTTTTGTCGCCTTTTTGGAGCCAGGCATTTAAGGGACTCTCATCAGTTGATGCAAGTGGAGGGCTCACTTCGTTTCTTTCCTTTTTCTCAGGAATTACTGTCCTTTACAGTTTGATGCCCAGTGTCCTAAAACCATCAACTCATACATTTTGTCCATTTTCAGCCAGAAGATAAGTTCACTGTTACTCCATTCTAGCCAGAAGTGGACATCCAATTAATTTTTATTTTTTTGAGACAGAATCTCACTTTGTTGCCCAAGCTGGAGTGCAATAGCGTGATCTCAGCTCACTGCAACCTCTGCCTCCTGGCTTCAAGTGATTCTCCTGCCTTGGCCTCCCAAGTAGCTGAAACTACAGGCACACGCCATCACGCCCAGCTAATTTGTGTGTGTGTGTGTATATATATACACACACACATATATTTTAGAGGAGATGGGGTTTCACCATGTTGGCCATGCTGGTCTCAAACTCCTGACCTCAAGTCATCCACCGGCCTTGGCCTCCCAAAGTGCTGGGATTACAGGCATGAGCCACCACGCCCGGCCTAGATAATTTATTTTTGACAAAGACCTCAATGCAATTAATTGAGGAAAAGGGCAGTCATTGCAAAAAATGGTGCTGGAACAACTGGATTTCCACATGCGGAAAAAGTAAACTTCAATCCCTACCTCATGTCATACATGAACATTACCTCAAAATGGATCACATGTAAGGGGCAAAACTGTAAAGGTTCTAGAAGAAAAGAAAGGAGAAAATCTTTACAACCTTAGTGGGTGTAAAGGTTTCCTAAATAGGACACATAACTTCTAACTATCAAAGAACAAAGTGATAAATTGGACTCTATCAAAATTAAAATTTTCTTTTCACCAAAAGATATCCTTGGCCTGGCATGGTGGCTCACACCTGTAATCCCAGCACTTTGGGAGGCCAAGATGGGTGAATCACCTGAGGTCAGGAGTTCAAGACCAGCCTGGCCAACATGGTGAAACCCTGTCTCTACTTAAAATACAGAAATTAGCCGGGCGTGGTGGCAGGTGCCTCTAATTCCAGCTACTCAGGAGGCCGAGGCAGGAGAATTGCTTGAACCCGGGAGGCGGAGGTTGCAGGGTTGCAGTGAGCCGAGATCGCGCCATTGCACTCTTGTCCTGGGGGACAAGAGTGAGACTTCGTCTGGAAATTAAAAAAAAAAAAAAAAAGATATCCTTAAGAAAATGAAAAGGCAAAAGCAAGCCACAGACCAGGAGAATGAATACGAGTATATATATATATATATATATATATATATATATATATATATGAATAATATATATAATATAAAAATTGTTTATATAATGTATTCTGGGAGGATTTTTACCTAGAATATATAAACAAGTCACACAAATATTTAAGACAAACAATGTAATAAAAATGGGCAAAGGACTCCTTGTGATTTGGGTCAGGGCAGACTAGCTGTGATTCAGGTCCCTGAAGGACATGAAGCTATGCCAACACTGGACATACATAGCGCCTGCTCACAGTGAATGATTGCTAGTAAAAGTTCATAAACAACATGAAATATTCAGTAACAGTGCACATGCACCTGCTAATGTATACAATCCAAACAGGCATTTCAGAGTGCTTCTCATCTGTGATGCCCAGAAAAGACAAATAAATTTGTCAAGAAAAAGCTAAGGGAAGTTAACTATAAGTAAATCTGCCCAAAAGGCAGTTTAAGTTCATAGACTGTCATGAGGTTCAATGAAGTTGAATTGATGGCTAGGGAAACAGAAAGCCACAGCTCTAATTGGGGCCTCCAGCATCAGCAAACTCCTGACTCTCTTTAGACAGGCTGAAACCCTTTGCTGTCAACTAACCCACATTTGTAGAAATATTTGGCATTGATTTGTTTTTTTTTTTTTTTTTTTTGAGATGGAGTCTCATGCTGTCGCCCAGGCTGGAGTGCAGTGGCATGATCTCAGCTCACTGCAACCTCCACCTTCCAGGTTCAAGCAATTCTTCTGCATCAGCCTCCCAAGTAGCTGGGATTACAGGTGTGTGCCACCAAGCCCAGCTAATTTCTGTAATTTTTTTAGTAGAGATGGGGTTTCACCATGCTGGGCAGGCTGGTCTTGAACTCCTGACCTTAGGTAATCCACCCTCCTTGGCCTCCCAAAGTGCTGGGATTACAGGAGTGAGCCACCGCACCCAGCCTGGAATTGATATTATTTTGATATTATATTCTGGGATCCATGGAGTAGCAAGCTGAGCTCCAAACTGATCCCACAGTTCATCCGATTAGTGGGTGAGATCAGATAGTGACCAGAGGTGGAAATCATGCAATCTTTGATGATAAGAGGACAAAGAATTATTGCCTCATTAGTACAGTGTAAAGGCTATATCATGGGCTGGGCAAGGTGCTAGTCCCAGCACTTTGGGAGGCCGAGGCGGGTGGATCACCTGAGGTCAGGAGTTGGAGACCAGCCTGGCCAACATGGCGAAACCCCGTCTCTACTAAAAATATAAAAATTAGCCAGGCGTTGTGGTGGGCACCTGTAATCCCAGTTACCCGGGAGGCTGAGGTGGGAGAATTGCTTGAGCTTGGGAGGCGAAGGTTGCAGTGAGACAAGATCACACCACTGTACTCCAACTTGGGTGACAGAGCAAGACTCCATTTCAAAAAAAAAAAAAAAGAAAAGGATGGGGGGCAACCACAAGGTGGTTCTGGTCACGCTTGGGCTCATCCCCATGTGAAAGCCTCGGAGAGTGGCACCTGGCAACTACATCTCACCCCCATCATTCCCACCCTGCAATGTGCAAGCCCAAAGGACCAGGCATGCGGACGAAGAGGAAGAAGGGCAGGAGGCCTAGGACACCATTGTGTGGTGTGCTATATATGAAATGGCCGGGTCCTCTCTAACCTCCAATCCACTAGGAGAAGCACCCAAGAACTCTCCATGCAGGGCATGCAAGAGAGAAAGAGCAGATGTCTGCCAGCTGCACACAGTGCTGGGTGGACGGCAGAATGGCCTGACTCAAACAGCTGCTCAGTGTGATGTGACCCTGGCACCACGGGTGGGAACGTGGCAAAGGTGCCTGAGCTTCTGTGGATGGCGGTAACCTGAACAGCCCAGCAAGAAGTCTGGCGAAGTTGGCTGGAATATAACCAATGATCTGTGCTGCCATGTAAGGAAAAATGGTGCTGATGCAAACTAAAAAAAGAAAAGCTTTCCTGAAGTAGTAATTAAAATAGGCTTTTGAGAGACTATAAAAATATTGACTGGGTATTTTAACAATATGAACCAGCGAGATGTGAACATAACTTCGTTCTTTTCGGACTGGGGAGAGTTGTGCTTCCAGATCTGGAAACATCCTACTTTATTACTGGATCAACATGGAGTGTGAGAAAAGAGTGAGACCAAAGAGAATCTCAAATTTCTGACCCGAGTAGCTGAAAGGACAGAGTTGTCATTAACTGAGATTTTTTTTTAAAAGTAAGCCAACAGCGGGCGTGGTGGCTCACGCCTGTAATTATTCTAGCACTTTGGGAGGCCGAGGCAGGCGCATCACAAGGTCAGGAGATCGAGACCATCCCAGCCAACATGGTGAAACCCTGTTTCTGCTAAAAAAATACAAAAATTATCTGGATGTGGTGGCGCGTGCCTGCAGTCCCAGCTACTAGGGAGGCCGAAGCAGGAGAATCGCTTGAACCTGGGAAGCAGAGCTTGCAGTGAGCCGAGATCGTGCCCCTGCACTCCAGCCTGGTGACAGAGCGAGACTCTGTCTCAGAAAAACAAAAACAAAAACAAACAAAAAAAAGTAAGCCAACACCAAGTCCTGTCCTAATGTCAACAGGACTTTGGGTGATACTGACATGTCAGTGTTGGTTATTCAGTTGCAACAAATGTACCTCTTTATTTCTTTTTCTTCCTCCCTTCCTTCCTTCCCTATCCTTCCTCCCTCTTTTCTCCTTCTTTTTCTTTCTCTTTTTCCTTCCTTCCTTTCTCTTTTTCTTTCTTTCTTTTCCTTCCCTTTCCTTCTCTTTCTTTCTCTTTATTTCTTTTCTCCCTCTCTCTTTTTATTTTTCCTGGGTCTTGCTCTGTCACCCAGCCTGCAGTACAGTGATTTGATCACTGCTCTCGAAGCTTTGATCTCCGAGGCTCAAGCAATCCTCCCACTGCAGCCTCCTGAGTACCTGGGACTACAAGCACATGCGGTCTCGCCATTTTGCCCAGGCTGGTTTCCAATTCCTAGGCTCAAGTGAGCCTCCCGCCTTCAGCATCCCAGAGTGCTGGGATTACAGGCATTAGTCACAGCACCTGGCCACTCAAATGTACTAATCTTGCAGGATGTTAACAGGTAGGCTGTGAGTGTGTGGGACAAGGGGCTATGAGAACTCTCTGTACTTCTGGCTCCATTTTCCTGTAAACCTAAAAACAGCTCTAAAAAATACAATCTATTTTTTTAAATATGGGTAAAACTGATTTGGGAGATAAGACAAAATATCCTATTTTAAAAACATGTTAATTTTGAGATACCTAAAAGAAACACTTGCTGAAGTATGAAAGTGATCGAGGAAATGGGGAGATGTGAGTCAAAGGACACAAAATAGCAGATATGTGGGATGAACGAGTCTAGACATCTAATGTACAACATGAGGGCTAAGGTTAATACGATTGTAATGTACTAGGGATTTGTGTTCGATAGATTCTAGCTGCTCGTCACAAAAAAGTAACTACGTGAGATGATAGATATGTTAATCAGCTTCATTACAGTAACTGCTGTACTAGCTATATGTATCCCATAATATGTTGTAATCCTCAAGTGTACACAATAGCATTTATTTTTAGAAAACAAGTGATACTATACTCTGGTTTGATATGTTATTTCTGTCAATTAATACTACACTTTGCATGTTAAGCACTGTCATACTATTAGATAACACTGCTTACAAAAATACTATGGATACTATGAAATTATTTTGACCCAAACAATGACCTTTCTTTTTTTTCTTTTGAAACAGAGTCCCCCTCTGTCACCCAGACTGGAATGAGTGATGTGATCTCAGCTCACTGCAACCTCTGCCTTTGAGCTCAAGTGATTCTCCTGCCTCAGCCTCGCGAGTAGCTGGGACTACACGCATGCGCCACCACACCTGGCTAATTTTTTTTTTAATTCTTTTTAAATTTTTGAGGTGGACTCTCGCTCTGTTGCCCAGGCAGGCTAGAGTACGGAGTACAGTGGCGCAATCTCGGCTCACTGCAACCTCCGCCTCCCAGGTTCAAGTGATTCTCCTGCCTCAGCCTACTGAGTAGCTGGGATTACAGGTGCACATCACCATGCCTGGCTAATTTTTGTATTTTTAGTAGAGACAGGGTTTTACCATGTTAGCCAGGCTGGTCTCTAACTCCTGGCCTCAAGTAATCCTCCCGCCTCGGCCTCCCAAAGTGCTGGGATTACAGACCTGAGGCACTGCACCTGGCCACAACGACCTAATTATTTAAGGAATAAGTGGGATGTTAATGGCCCATTTTATAATTCAAATCCTGGTGATCATGAGTATATTAACTTATATTCTTTTCTATATTTAAAAAAATAAGCAGTGTGTTATTACACTATAGTTTTGCAAGATGTTGCCATTGCAGAAGCTGGGTGAAGCATACATAGGATGTCTTTGATTATTTATTATACCAGCATGTGAACCAACAATTATCTCAAAAATCAAAGTTTAATTAAAAAAAAATTAACCAAAGATCAAGGGGATAGATGATAGGGATAGGAAATGAGTTAACAAAATCCTTTATCCATCTCTGTAAAACAATTTGACCTTGGGTTAGCTTACTACCGCAGTTCCCCTACCTACCAAGAAAGCACGTCAACTATGTTCCTAAAGCAACTTATTTATAGTTCTGATTGCCTTGGTAACCTGCTAGAAACACTCATCAGTTTCACTACTAGGCAACACTGCTTATGACAAGCCTGACTCCTGGTTGGTAAACTGTATCTGAACTTGGCAAGCCCCTTGCAGGAACACTGAAAACCACACTCACTATATTCATAGGTTACTATAAGATAGTGGGTCTGGTAGGGCTTAGGGCTTCAAAGCCAGCGTGAGTTCTTCTTACCTGAGCTGTCACTTGACACATCAGAAGAAACAGCTGCTGAATACCTGTGCGTGCTTTTTTTGTTTTTGTTCTTGAGACAGAGTCTCACCCTGTCACCTAGGCTGGAGCACAGTGGAGGGATCTTGGCTCACTGCAACCTCCGCCTACTAGGTTCAAGCGATTCTCCTGCCTCAGCCTCCCGAGTAGCTGGCATTACAGGTGTGTGCCACCACACCTGGCTAATTTTTGTATTTTTAGTGTAGGCAGGGTTTCACCATGTCGACCAGGCTGGTCTCAAACTTCTGACCTCAGGTGATCCACCCACCTCGGCCTCCCAAAGTGCTGGGATTACCGGTGTAAGACACTGCGCTTAGCTGCTTTTTTTTGTTTGTTTTTTAATTTAGATTTTCCTTTTTTGGAATCAGGGTCTCTCTCCATCACCCAGGCTGGAGTATAGTGGCACAATCATGGCTCACTGCAGCCTCCAACGGCTGGACTCAAGCAATCCTCCCACCTCAGCCTCCTGCATAGCTGGGACTACAGACACACACCACCCCCACCACATCCAGCTAATTTTTAGGGGGGTGTGTGTGGTTTTTTTTTGTT
Organism: Homo sapiens; assembly: GCF_000001405.40. Classification (NCBI taxonomy): domain Eukaryota; kingdom Metazoa; phylum Chordata; class Mammalia; order Primates; family Hominidae; genus Homo; species Homo sapiens. Next base: position 176,018,223 of record NC_000005.10, read on the forward strand.
TTTTGTTCTTTTAAGAGACAGGTTCTCACTATGTTGCCCAGGCTGGTCCCGAGCTCCTAGGCTCAAGTGATCCTCCCTCTTCAGCCCCTCAAAGTGCTGGGATTACAGGTGTGATCCACAAGCCCAGCCTGTATGTGCTTCTTAAAAGACTACTCTCACTGATGGACAATGTCTGACACAGACAATCTCACATGCTGTGCTCCCTGCATTTAATCCAAACATCATTGAAGCAATGTGATAGTGTGAGGCAATGTAATAGGTGAAGCTGTGGCTGCTGAGCCAGAAGATATTTCTGAACACTTGGTCAGGAGGATGATCACCCAAAAGTTACACCTATCTAATCTTTGAAGCTCTAATCCATCATCTAAGCTCTTCATGTTAAGACCCATGGGTATGTTTATTAACCATATTTATTAACCTCTCCTTCTTGGGACAGAAAACGTTTACCTCAACTTAAAGATTGTTGCTCAGATTTGTCCTTCTGTGTGGGTCATAGCTGCCTGGTGTCTGGAAGCCTTGGGAACACCCTGGCTCTGTTCCTCCAACACAGAATCATGCGCTTTGTGAATGTGCTGCTTTAGGCATTCAGCTGCAGGGGAAAACTTTAAAGGTTAACTTGAAATATTTGCAGAGAATATTCTGTGGTAGCAAGACATTAACATAACACAATTTGCTGCTACTTGGTCTTTGCTAAACAAGCTATTGCTACTTGGTGTTTGTTAATGAAAGGAGCTCTTAAGACTCTTATGAATTTGTCCTGCTTAAAATATATTATATTGGGCTGGGCGTGGTGGCTCACACCTGTAATCCCAGCACTTTGGGAGGCCACGGTGGGCAGATCATGGGGTCAGGAGGTTGAGACCATCCTGGCTAAAACGGTGAAACCCCATCTCTACTAAAAATACAAAAAATTAGCTGGGCATGGTGGCACGCACCTATAGTCCCAGCTACTAGGGAGGCTGAGGCAGGAGAATTGCTTGAACCCAGGAGGCAGAGGTTGCAGTGAGCCGAGATGGCACCACTGCACTCCAGCCTGGGCAACAGAGTGAGACTCCGTCTCAGAAGAAAAAAGAATCATATCGTCTCAAACAGGCAGCGAAGATTGAAATGTTGCCACCCATAGGATTCTTCACTGGAGGTGACTAAGACCAGCATAAGTCCGTGTTATTTGCACCACTAAGTCATATTTCTCAGACTGATGTATTGCCAAACCAAGAAATGGAAAGTATTAAGATAATGTCAATAATAACATGAATGAGAATAGAGTAAGTGTGGACCACTTGTTAGAACTGGCTCGATTACAAACGTGTTGCTCAAACCTAATAGCTTTAGTCTTCTTCAAGAAGATTAGATTTGGATTTCAATTAGTGTTACTAACTGGCATGGGTATAATGATATGCTGAACCTGTAATATGATTACAGGTTCAGGTCCTTATTTGTTATATTATTAGACAATTTCTGTTAAATGTCATATAAGAAAAGTGTAAAAGATGATTGCAGAATCGGAACCGTGGGATGAAGCGGAACGTGACACACTGAGGTCTTACGGGTGGTAGAGCAATTTGCTCCCAACTGGGACCATCTGAAGGCACAAGGCTGTGCCCCAGCTCAGGTCCACAGCTAAACATTGAGAAACATATCAGCAGAATGCAGAGCCTCTCCTCCGGTAAATTACTTGAGATGAAAGTTCTTAACCAACATGAAATAACTGAACTGAGTTTGATAAAATTCAGCTGGGCCTTTCAGGGGCCTTTCCCACCAGCAGAACCCTCATTTGGGAAAAGTAAATTTGCCAGGAGAAAGTTAAGAGAGGCTACGTTGAGTTAACTTGAACAAGCGGCTAAGGGACAGTTTAAGTTTATACGGCAATTAGAGGTTTAATGAAATTTAATTTACAGCTGGGAGAATAAGAAATTGCTCTGTCTACTTGGGGACATCCAGCATCACTGCAATTCTCGACTGTCTTCAGACCTGCTTGTATCCTTTCCTACCAAATAAGCATGTTTCACAGAGACTTCTAAGACTGAGATGTTAATTTGCAAGAGACTTGAGCAGACATTTTGCAAAGGAATATATACAAATGGCCCATAAACACATGAAAAGGTGCTCAACGTCATCTGTCTTCCGGGAAATGCAAATTAAAACTACAATGAGATACCACTATATAGTCAGGCTAAAATGAAAAAGATGCCACTAGCAAGTGCTGGTGAGTATATGAGCGGTCAGAACTCTTATACACTGCTCTTGGGGGTGTACAGTGATACAACCACCTTGGAAAACTATAGCAGTTTGGAATAGAGTTAAACATCACCTACTGCTATGGACAGAATGTTTGTGTCCCCTCCTAAGTTCATATCTTGAAGCCCCAACTTCCACTGTGATGGTTTTGGAGACAGGGCTTTTGGGAGATAATTAGGGTTAAAGGAGGTCATGAAGATGGGGCCCTTGCAATGGGATTAGCATCCTTATAAAAAGAGACTCCAGAGAACTTGCCCTCTCTCTTCCTGTGTTGTAATTTCTTTCTAATGTGGTCTTGAGGCATCTCTTTCTGGAGAGTGGCTACAAACAATAACCCTGCCCTCACAGGGCACCAAGCATGTTGCTCATAAAAGGAATGTTTACAGTTTACCTTTCACAGGATCCTTCTTGATCCTGGCAGGTGGCCTCATGCCCAAGTGCTCAACCTGTGACAGATGTCCCTTTCACAGGAAGCTTGTATATAGAGGACGATGCCCTTGTAGCTGTTGTCTGACCTGTGTTCAATTTATTCCTACCAAGACAGCCACTCTCTAGGGCAGCCCTGATGAGGAGGGTTGGGTTCGGGTGTGTCAGTCAGGTGAGACACAGTGTGTGCAATAAAACACATGAAATAGCAGGAGTAGTTGATTACTCACAGATCCCAGAGAGAGGAGGGCACCATGCCTCGCAGGGCCAGCAGGAAGTGGGGAGCCATTCAGGATACCCACGTTTAGCCAGCAGGTGGGGACTGAAAGAGAGAGGACCTCTAGGACTAAAGCCTTTATTGGGGTCCAGGGTGTGACCCCAGCAAGTTTCCCATAGGAAGCTCTAATTGATTGTTTAGAGCAAGCAGGCACGAGCTCCAGGTGATCATGCTGTGACTGGGAAGTGGGCACTGTGGTGTATCTGGGCAGACCACGTAGGGTGAGGGGTCAGAGGGTGAGTCAAGGGCAGACCACGCAGGGTGAGGGGTCAGAGGGTGAGTCAAGTACGTTGTATCCAGCTCCCCTCCAGGGAGGTGGTGCCTGGGAGGTGGCTGTACATGGCAGATATCTGAGTTGACCACTTTGAGGAACTGGAAGGAGTTAAAGAACTGGAAATGGTGTTAAGGGTAATTATGCCATGCTTCTGGTATGAGAAAGTCCAACTTAAATTCAAAACGGGGGCCGGGCATGGTGGCTCATGACTGTAATCCCAGCACTTTGGGAGGCTAAGGTGGATGGATCACTTGAGGTCAGGAGTTTGACACCAGCCTGGCCAACATGGTGAAACCCTGTCTCTACTAAAAATGTAAAAATTAGCCACGCGTGGTGGTGCATGCTTGTAATCCCAGCTACTCGGGAGGCTGAGGCAGAATCGCTTGAACTCGGGAGGCAGAGGTTGTAGTGTGCCAAGATCACGCCACTGACTTCCAGTGTAGGTGACAGAGTGAGATTCTGTCTCAAAAAACAACAACAACAAAAATGGATTCCATGGCAACATAAAATTGTAGGAATTCACTACACCATGCACCTACACAAAGAAGTAATCACAGGTACACACATAGGGAGACAACTTGTAGGCACAAACCAAGAGAAGAGGCCTCAGAATGAAATCCACCTTGCCAGCACCTTGACCTTGGACTGCCCAGACCAGAACTGTGAGAAATTTCTGTTAAGTTACCTAGTCTATGGCATTCTGCTATGGCCACACAAGCAGACCAATATACCTAACTAACAACCATCAATTCTGTCTTCGGTATTTGTCCACAGGAGATGAAATCCATGTCCACTACAAGACTTGTACACTAATGTTCACAGCAGCCTTACTCACAATAACTTCAAAACAATGCAAATATCCATCAATGGTAACTGGAGAAACAAATTGTCTGTGTGTGCAGTGCAATACTCCACAGCAATGACAATGGAACTACTGCTACGCAGGGCAGCACACATGAATCTCATGAGTGATACAATTTCATGAAAGACGCCAGATGCAAATAAAGCACAGACTATATGATTCCATTTGTAGGAAGTTTTAAAACTGGTGACATTAACCTATAGGGGAAGAAGTCGGTCACTGATTCAAGAAGTACCTTCTTGGAGAGCACCAATGTCCCCACAGAGAGCCGCCAAGAGTCACCAACCAAAAAAAATAGAGATGGATGGAAAGCTCCCAAGCTGCAGGGTTCTTCCCACGCAGAACCAGAACGCAAAGGAAATGTGTGGACACCACAGAAAAGGAACCAACACCAGGACAGGGGCCGGGAGGAGGAGGAACAAGGGTTCTGAGCGAGAATCGGTCCTCCAGGGATGGTCGGGGATTGCACGCAGTGGCCATGCTGCGAACGCTCTCCCCAGCCCCCACCACTGGACAGATTGTTTTGAAGATGTTGAAAGAACTTTTCTTAAGACAAAGAGAATGATCTGCGGGTTTCAAAGTCAATGGCATCACATATTTCAACGTCGTCCAGAAAACAGCCTCTCCTGGTAAATCCTGTCTCTGGTTATTCCTCACAGACTCAGCCCAGCTCCTGGGCAACATCAAAGTCAGCTTCCCCTGGGAACCCAGTGAGTGTCTGCTCCCATCTTCTCCTTAATGAACAGCCAGTCTGTAGGCTTTAAATATAGTCTGCCACTATCTGTTTAAATTGTTGTGTACATTCACACACACACACGTGCACACATGCACACAACAGCTTCTGTCAGCTTGCGGGGACATCCATTTTGTAAGCAATGCAAATTAAAGCTGTGATCCAATCTGGGTGAACCTCCTCCTCCCCGACTTAGAATCGAAGCAGAGTGTACTGCGGCAGGGAGCTGGGGGACGACGACGCAACCTTTGAAGACCTGCCTCTAAAAAGAGTCAAGTCTTGTCTGTATCAGCAGAACTTAAAATTAAAAGGCAAGAGCCACAGCTCTCACCAGCTCTTTAAAAGGTTAAAATTGGCTGGGTGCAGGCTGGGTGTGGTAGCTCACGCCTGTAATCTCAGCACTTTGGGAGGCCGAGGCGGGCGGATCACGAGGTCAGGAGCTCGAGACCAGCCTGGCCAAGATGGTGAAACCCTGTCTCTACTAAAAATACAAAAATTAGCTGGGCACAGTGGCATGCACCTAATTTTTAAAAATTAGCCAGACAAGGTGGCATGCACCCGCAGTCCTAGCTACTCAGGTGGCTGAGGTGGGAGGATTCCTTGAGCCCAGAAGTTCGAGGCTGCACTGAGCCGAGATCGTGCCAGTACACTCCAGCCTGGTGATAAAGTGAGGCTTTGTCTCTAAATAAATAAATAAATAAATAAATAAATAAATAAATAAAGTGTCTGGAAATTGTCCTAAGGGCATACAGCAAATGAAGAAATATTTATTCTAGAAAATCTACAAAAATTCAGAAAGAACCATGAGTCTCTGTGATATTGAGCTACAACCCACTCCCTTCTCCTCCTTCCCCCAGCTCAGAGTGATGGAGGCTCTGCTCCAGGTAGGTCGGGTTAAGAGTAGGTGGTTCCCTCCTTGCTCAGCTGCCACTCAAGCTCACCATATCACACTGGGAGGCATGGGCTGCCAGCATTTCTCATCCCCTCTCTTGAGGAACCACAAAGAAAAGAACTGAAAAATATAGTTAAAGAATTATTAAAGTAACCAAAATGTGACACTGGAAAATATTTACTGAATGCAAAAGAATGTAGTAAATAAGGTAGGAGAGAACAAAGAAAGACATGAGACATAGAAAACATGAATGACAGACACAGATCCAACCATATAACAAAATCCTTAAATGTGAACAGATTAAACAATCCAATTAGAAGGCAGAGATGTCAGGCTTGGTTAAAAAACAAACTATATGCTGTCTACAGGAAATACACTTTAGATTCAAAGATACAAACAGGCTGAAAGTAAAAAGATGGGAAAAAGACATACCGTGAAAACAGCAACCATAGCAAGCTGGAATGGCTATATCAATATGAGACAAAATAGACTGTAAAAATGTTACAAGAGGCCGGACGTGGTGGCTCACGCCTGTAATCCCAGCACTTTGGGAGGCGGAGGTGGGTGGATCACTTACGCTCAGGAGTTCAAGACCAGCCTTGCCTACATGGTGAAACCCCATCTCTACCAAAAATACAAAAATTATCTGGGTTGGTGGCAAGTGCCTGTAATCTCAGCTACTAGGGAGGCTGCGGCAGGAGAATCACTTGAACCTGGGAGGCGGAGCTTGCAGTGAGCAGAGATGGCACCACTGCACTCCAGCATGGGTGACAGAGCAAGAGACCCTGTCCCAAAAATTAAATAAATAAATAAATAAATAATAAAAAATAAATTAAAATGTTACAAGTGATAAAGAGGGACATTTTATAATGAACAAAGTGTCAATTCATCAGGAAGACACAACGGTTATAAACATATGCAACTAACGAAAGAGACCCAATATGATGCAAAAATGAACCACAGAACTGAAAGGAGAAATGGACAATTGAACAGTAATAGTTGGAGACTTCCATACCCAACTTTCTTTTTTTTTTTTTTTTTTTTGAGATGGAGTCTCCCTCTGTCGCCCAGGCTGGAGTGCAATGGAGCTCTATCTTGGCTCACTGCAAGCTCCGCCTCTGGGGTTCACACCATTCTCCAGCCTCAGCCTCCCAAGTAGCTGAGACTACAGGTGCCCGCCGCCATGCCGGGCTGATTTTTTTTTGTATTTTTAGTAGAGATGGGGTTTCACCGTGTTAGCCTGGATGGTCTCGATCTGCTGACCTCGTGATCTGCCTGCCTCTGCCTCCAAAAGTGCTGGGATTACAGGCGTGAGCCACCATGCCCAGCCTTCCATACCCAACTTTCGAGAACAGATACAACAGCTAGATGAAAGATTAACAAGGATATAGAAGATGTGAACATTGTTAATCCAACCAGACTAACAGATATCTACAGAACACTCCAACCAACAGAGGCAGAACACACATTCTTCTCAAGCACACACAGTACATTCTCCAAGACATACCATGTGCTAGGCCATAAAACAAACCTCAATAAATTTAGAAAGACTGAAATCATATAAAGTACATTCTGTGGCCACAGTAGAAATTAGAATTCAATAACAGAAGACCATTTGGGAAATTCACAAACATAGAAAAATTAAATGTCACACTCCTAAATAACAAAGGGATGCTATGGTTTGAATGTATCTCTCAAAACTCATGTGTTGAAAGCTTAATGCCCAATGGAACAGTATGGGCAGGTGGGGACCAATGGGAGGTGTATAGCTCATGAATGGAAACGCCACTATAAAAAGGGCCCATGGAAGCAGTTTCTATCTCTGTCTCCCTGCCCCCACCTCCTGCCATGTGAGAACACGGTGTTTCTCCTCTCTGGAAGACACAGTGCTCAAGGCACCACCTTGGAAGCAGAGAAACCAGGCCCTAACCTGCTAGCACCTTCATCTTGGATTTCCTAGCCTCTAGAACTATCAGAAAATAAATTTACATTCTTTTTTTTTTTTTTTTTTTTTGAGACAGTCTCGCTCTGTCGCCCAGCCTGGAGTGCAGTGGCGCAATCTCGGCTCACTGCAAGCTCCACCTCCCGGGTTCATGCCATTCTCCTGCCTCAGCCTCCCGAGTAGTTGGGACTACAGGCGCCCACCACCACCCCTGGCTAATTTTTTTTTTTTTTTGTATTTTTAGTAGAGATGGGGTTGCACTGTGTTAGCCAGGATGGTCTCGAACTCCTAACCTCATGATCCGCCCGCCTCGGCCTCCCAAAGTGTTGGGATTACAGGTATGAGCCACCGCACCCGTCCAGGTTTGTTTTAAATTTATTGAGGCTTGCTTCATGACTGAGCATGCGATTGATCTTAGAGAGTCTTACCTGTGCAGATGAGAAAAATGTATATTCTGTGGTTGTTGAGTGGAGTGTTCTGTAGAAAACTATTAGGTCTAACTGGTCAAGTGTTGAGTTTAAGTCCAGTTTCCTTGTTAATTTTCTGTGTTAATGATCTGTCTAACGCTGTCAGTGGGGAGTTGAGGTCTCCCTCAACTGTGTGGTTGTCTAAGTCATGTTGTAGGCCAAGAAGAACTTGTGTTATGAATCGGTTGTTCCAACGTTGGGTGAATATATATTTAAGATAGTTAAGTCTTGTTGGATTGTACCCTTCATCATTATATAATGGCCTTCATTGTCCTACTTAATTTTTATTGCTTTACCATTTGTTTTATCTAAGAATAGCAATGCCTGGGCTGGACGCGGTGGCTCAGACTTGTAATCCTAGCACTTTGGAAGGCTGAAGCAAGTGGATTGTTTGAGCACAGGAGTTGGAAATCAGCCTGGGCAACGTGGCAAAACCCCATCTCTACCACAAAATACAAAAATTAACCAGGTGTGGTGGTGCATGCCTGTAGTCCCAGCTACTCAGGAGGTTGAGGTGGGAGGATCACTTGGGAGGTTGAGTGCAGCGAGCCATAATCACACCAGTGCACTCCAGCCTCGGTGACAGAGCCCATCTCCAAAAAAAAAAAAAAAAAAAAAAAATGGTGACTTTTGCATGGTAGATATTTCTCCATCCCTTTACTTTGAGCCTGTGGATGTTGTTACACGTGAGATGAGTCCTTGAAGATGGTGGGTCTTGCCACTGGATCAGAGATTTAAGTGTAAGGCCTCAAACCATAAGAACTCTAAAAGAAAACCTAGGAAATACCATTCAGGACATTGGCCTTGGGAAACAATCTATGACTAGGTCGTCCTCAAAATCAATTGCAACACCAACAAAAGTTGACAAGTGGGACCTAATTGAATGACAGAGCTTCTTCACAGCGAAAGACATTATTAACAGAGTAAATATACAACCTATGAAATGAGAGAAAATATTCCCCAACTATGCATCTGACAAAGGTCTAATATCTGCATCTGTAAGGAACTTAAATCAACATGCAAAATATAAATAACCCTATTAAAAAGTGGGCAAAAGATATAAATGGACACTTCTCAAAAGATACACAAGCAGACACACATGAAAAAATGTTCAGCATCACTAATCATCAAACAAATACAAATCAAAATCACAATGAGACACCACCTTCCTCTTGCAAAAATGGCCATAATTAAAAAGTCAAAAAACGGTAGATGTTGGTAGGAATGTGGTGAAAAGGAAACACTCTTACTCTCCTAGTGGGGAATGTAAGTGAGCATAACCACTGTGGAAAACAGTATGAAGAGTCCTTAAAGAAATAAAAGTAGAACTCCCATTCAGTCCAGCAGCCCCACTACTGGGTATCTACACAAAGGAACAGAAGTCATCCTGTGAAAAAGGCACATGCACATGCATGTTTGCACAATTCACAAGTGCAAAGACGTGGAACCAACTTAAGTGCCCATCAACCAACGAGTAGACAAAGAAAACGTGGTATATATACACCACGGAATACCACTCAGCCATAAAAAGGAACAAAATAATGCCTTTTGCAGCAACTTAGAGGGAGCTGGAGGCCATTATTCTAAGTGAAGTAACTCGGGAATGAAAAACCAAAAATCATATGTTCTCACTTAAAAGTTAGAGATAAGCTACACCGATAAAAAGGCCTAAGAATGATATAATTGACGCTGGGGACTCAGAGAGGAAAGGATGGGAGGGGGATGAGGGATGAAAGACTACATATTAGGTACAGTGTACACTGCTCAGGTGACGGACCCACTAGAATCTCAGAACACATCCATGTAACTGAAAACCACCTGTACCCAAAAACTGTTGAAATAAAAATAAAATTTAAAAAGTAATTATTCCTGGGGATCTGTTTAAAATGTACTGTCAATATTCCATGACCCGACTCTTTTAAATTCCCATTCAAAACCCTACAAATACTCAGAAACAGATTTAACATCTCAAACCATTGCAAAAAAATTCACTGGGCCTGGTGGTAGGCACCTGTAATCCCAACTATTTGGGAGGCTGAGGCAGGAGAACTGCTTGAACCTGGGAGGTGGAGTCTGCAATGAGCCAAGATCACCGCACTGCACTTCAGCCTGAGCGCTAGAGTGAGACTCTGTCTCAAAAAAAACCAAACTTATAAAAAAATCACCCAGAGACAATGACTGTTAACATTCCTGGCTGGTGTATTTTCTTCCTGCTCCTGTTCCTTATTTTATTTTATTTTATTTATTTATTTTCTTTTTTTTTTTGAGATGGAGTTTCAATCTTGTCGTCTAGGCTGGAGTGCAATGGTACGGTCTCGGCTCACTGCGACCTCTGCCTCCCTGGTTCAAGTGATTCTCCTGCCTTAGCCTCCCCAGTAGCTGGGATTACAGGCATGCGCCACCACGCCCGGCTAATTTTTTGCAGTTTTAGTAGAGATAGGGTTTCTCCGTGTTGGTCAGGCTGGTTTCGAACTCCCGACCTCAGGTGATCTGCCCTCCTCGGCCTCCCAAAGTGTTGGGATTACAGGCGTGAGCCACCGCACTTGGTCCCTGTTCCTTTTTTTACATGGAGGTGACATTTTCTGCTCCACCTAAGGAAGGTCATGGCCTACATGATTCTACATCACTTTATTGAAATATCATGACAGCCTGGCATGGTGGCTCATGCATGTAATCCCAGCACTTTGGGAGGCCAAGGTGGTAGATCTCTTCATAGGGGGTTCGAGACCAGCCTGGCCAACATGGTGAAACCCTATCTCTACTAAAAACACCAAAAAGTTAGCTGGGCGTGGTGGCGCATGCCTGTAGTCCCAGCTACTTGGGAGGCTGAGGCACAAGAATTGCTTCAACCCAGGAGACAGAGGTTGCAGTAAGCTGAGATTGTGCTGCTACACTCCAGCCTGGGTGACACAGTGAGACTCCAAAAAGAAAAAAAAAAAAGAAAGAAAGAAGAAAGAAAAGAAAGGAAAGAAAGGATCAAAGAAAAGAAAGGAAAGAAAGGGTCAAAGAAAAGAAAAAAGAAAACAGAAATATCATGACAGGCATCATCACTCTAATTTCACCAACAGGGAAATTAACGCCTAGGGCAGGTTAGAGGCCACAGAGCTTAGAAGGGCCAGGACTGAATGTGAATGCAGGTCCCTGAGGCCAAGTTCCAGAATCTCACCACGCCAGGATTCTTTCGAGGAAGTTCATTCCCTCATTCCTGTACACATTCACTTAAGCATGCCAAGGACCTTGTGGGTCCTGGCCTGTGACAGACCAGGGGTGACAGAGTCTAGCTGGCAGTAGTCCTGCCATCAACCAGCTTCCATTCTAAAGGCTTAATGTCTGCAACCCAGGGCGCCCACTACCCAGCGTAGCCCAGCAGGAGTGAGTGGGGAAGGCGATATGCCCCTTCAAAAGGACTCACTCTCTGCCCAGCTGTCAGCACCTTCCGGGTCCCCTCAGCTCTCAGTTCGAGGCCACCCTCTTCCCTGGTGGCCAGTGACTGAGCAAGTGGTATCAGGGCCTTTTCTGTCTAACAGGGGACTCCTCTGTCAGGCACTTAGATCCAGAGCTCCTCTGCTGGTGCCCTCTGCCCAATCCAGTTCCTCCCCATTTATTTTTCTTTTTGAGACAGAGTCTTGCTCTGTTGCCCAGGCTGGAGTGCAGGCATGATCATAGCTCACTGTGGCCTCCAACTCCTGGGCTCAACTGATCCTCCCACCTTAGCCTCCTGAGTAATCGGGAATACAGACACCACGCCAGGCTAATTTTTTTTATTTTTATTTTTTTTGTAGAAACAGGGTTTTGCTATGTTGCCCAGGCTGGTCTCAAACTCCTGGCCTCAAGAAATCCTCCCACCTTGGCCTCCCCAAATGCTAGGATTTACTGGCATGAGCTACCATGCCCAGCTCCCTTCCTCCCCTTTGCTCTCCTAACTCCATCTCAGCATCTACCCCTGAGGACCAATGCAACAGGGCACTCAGTGCATCTGTGAACCTCCCATCAGTCCTGTGGTGGACTACTGTCCCCTCTGGTGCATTCTTTGTCCCCATCAGCCTAGTAAGCTCCAGGGGCTGGCAGCTGGCACAGAGTAGGAGGCTGCACTCCCTGACTTTTCTATGCTGCACACAGTCCTGTGACCATCTTGTCCTCAGACCTGCCAGGGCCATGACCAACCTGCCAAGGGTGTGGGAAACTGTGTGTGACCCAACTCTAGGAGGAGGTGGAGCAGGCGGAACGTAGGGGAAGCTGCTGCCCCAGTAGGTTTAGAGGAAGGGTGGGGTGTGGCAGGGCCAGGCAAGTGAGGGTGTGAGGGTGGGGGTGTGAGGGTGGGGGTGTGTGGGTGAGGGTGTGGGTGGGGGTGTGTGGGTGAGGGTGTGGGTGGGGGTGTGTGGGTGAGGGTGTGGGTGGGGGTGTGTGGGTGAGGGTGTGGGTGGGGGTGTGTGGGTGAGGGTGTGGGTGGGGGTGTGGGCGAGGGTGTGGGTGGGGGTGTGGGGGGGAGGGTTTGGATGGGGGTGTGTGAGTGAGGGTGTGGGTGAGGGTGTGGGTGGGGGTGTGGGCGAGGGTGTGGGTGGGGATGTGAGGGTGGGGGTGTGTGGGTGAGGGTGTGGGTGGGGGTGTGGGCGAGGGTGTGGGTGGGGGTGTGAGGGTGGGGGTGTGTGGGTGAGGGTGTGGGTGGGGGTGTGTGGGTGAGGGTGTGGGTGGGGGTGTGTGGGTGAGGGTGTGTGAGTGAGGGTGTGGGTGGGGGTGTGGGCGAGGGTGTGGGTGGGGATGTGAGGGTGGGGGTGTGTGGGGGAGGGTGTGGGTGGGGGTGTGTGGGGGAGGGTGTGGGTGGGGGTGTGTGGGGGAGGGTGTGGGTGGGGGGGTGAGTGCCTGTCTGGCTCTCCTGGGTGGGGCTGGATGAATGTTTGGGCACAGGCAGCAGCTGTCACATGGCCTGGCTGTGGGTTTGGGACGGAAACCAGGTAGGTGTGCCGTATCAGGCACAGCTACAAACTGTGCCAAGGAAACAGTCAGAGCAGGGGCCCGGGGAAACTTCTGCCTTGGCAGAAGGTACTGGGGAGATGGGATGATTTGGGGAGGTCTTCCAAGGCCCATGGTGCTTCATGGAGCCAGGGCCCAGGGCAGGGAGGGCTATAACCCTGGCTTGCCTGATTGGCTGAACACAAACAGGATGGAAGGGGGTGTGAGCAGCCCGCTAGGTGGATGCCTAAGTGAGGAAGGAATGGGTGGCCACGTGGCTGAGACCCCCAAGACCAGGACCCCACTGTCAGGCCAGTGGCTTCCATAGGCCAGTAAGAAGCGTTCTCCTTTGGGCACTGAGGCCATCGGCTTCAGCTTCACACCCTTTTCCAAACAGACAGAAGTCCTTCAGGTAACCTCAAAAGTCACTTCTCCTGGCCTTCCCCAGAGGGGAAAGGAGAGAGCGGTGCTTGTGGCAGGGGGCCCTCAGAGCTGGTGGAGGGCACAGCAGAGAGACTGCTTGCATGTGGGAGGCCCCCAGCAGACCTTGCCCAGATGTCAGCCCTCGTTTGAGGCAAACTATAAAATTATTACAATTTAGGCCAGGCGCAATGGCCCATGCCTGTAATCCCAGCACTCTGGGAGGCCATGGCAGGAGAATCTCTTGAGCCCTGGAGTTTGAGCCTGCAGTGAGCTATGACTACACCACTGCACTTCAACCTGGGCAACAGAGGAAGACCCTGTCTCTAAAATAAATAAATAGGCTAGTCGTGGTGTCTCATGCCTGTAATCCCAGCACTTTGGGAGGCCAAGGCAGGTGAATCACCTGAGGTCAGGAGTTCAAGATCAGCATGACCAATATGGTAAAACTTCATTTCTACTAAAAACACAAAAATCAGCCAGGTGTGGTGGCACGTGCCTGTAATCCCAGCTACTCAGGAGACTGAGGCAGGAGAATCACTTGAACCCGGGAGGCAGAGGTTGCAGTGAGCTGAGATCACACCACTGCACTCCAGCCTGGGCGACACAGCAAGACTCCACCTCAAAAAAATAAAAAATAAATAAATAAATAAAAGATGGAAAAGCTATGTTCTTAACATTTTTGAAATGATAATTCATACTAAAAAATGTTACCAATATTAATGCACAAAGCATTTTATAAGTTTTAGACTATTAATAAAAGATACTAAAACTGAATTTAAGTATTTGTAGCCATAATTAACACTATAAGTTTGTATACCTATAATGTAGCAACTAATTATCCAAAAATTTAATAAATGACAAAATAAAATTTTGCAAACAGATTTGTAATAACCAGAAAGAAATCTGTATTGGCAATTAATGTAACATAATAAAAATAATTTGTTATGGTCATCTGCTAAATGCTAATTAATGTAAAATGTTAAAAGATTATCTTAATTATGACATCTTAATTTTTAATGGTTTTAAATATTATAAATATAATAAGGGGTTTCTAAATTTAAAAGAGGAACGACTAAATTTTTCAGAATTAGTTCATATTTCTTGTTGTACAATATAAGAACACCATTCCACTTTTCCTGTTAGATTAGGAACCCTCCCTTATTATCTCACTGAAGGAGAATGCTGGATGGTGCTACAAAGAAGGCAATCTAAGGACTCCAGAACTGAAGTGGCACTGCATGTCACTTCCCTAACTCAACTGAAAAAGCAGACAAAAACCTAGCGTTTTCTACCCTCAAGCCAGCAAGAAACACAGTCCAGGTAAGCTCGTTTCTTCCCCAGTGGAGCGGGAGTCTATCCAACAAGAGGCAACCATTCTGCCATGATCTTAGAGTAGAACTGTTCAGAAGTTTGCTAACAATAAGCAGCCAACATAGACACATTCTTTCTCTAGTAAATCTAAAATTCCCTTTTTCCCCAGAGGCACTGGGGTGCCTGAGGGGCATGTAGCAAAAGTGACCCCAGCCACACCACGCAAACTAGCCAGGAAACCTTTTTGTCTTCACAGATCTGAGAGTCCCTGAGAACCCAGAGACAACACAGAGGCAGCAGGACATGAACAGGAGAGTCCCAGCATCAGTTCCTGGCCATAGAATCCCTCCTGAGCAGCAGGCAGGACAGAACCCCTTTCAGCAACCAGCCTGCCGGAGAAGCCTCTGCCCCTGTGGTGTGAGGATCCACTTCCCCCAGGTGACACCATGGGCAGGTGGGCTGAAGAAGTGGGAAGGCCAAATCGACTGGCCCAGGAGGATGCCTCTTTGATGATACAGGTGACACAGGTCTAAGCCTCCCTTCTTCCACAGGAGGCCCAGCCAGGATGCCTCTTTGATGATACAGGTGACACAGGTCTAAGCCTCCCTTCTTCCACAGGAGGCCCAGCCAGGATGCCTCTTTGATGATACAGGTGACACAGGTCTAAGCCTCCCTTCTTCCACAGGAGGCCCAGCCAGGATGCCTCTTTGATGATACAGGTGACACAGGTCTAAGCCTCCCTTCTTCCACAGGAGGCCCAGCCAGGATGCCTCTTTGATGATACAGGTGACACAGGTCTAAGCCTCCCTTCTTCCACAGGAGGCCCAGCCAGGATGCCTCTTTGATGATACAGGTGACACAGGTCTAAGCCTCCCTTCTTCCACAGGAGGCCCAGCCAGGATGCCTCTTTGATGATACAGGTGACACAGGTCTAAGCCTCCCTTCTTCCACAGGAGAAACTAGGTGGCCCAGAGGCTGCCCAGAGGTAGGGGATCTGCCACAGCAGCCACCCTCCTGGGAGGTTCCCTTTCTTCTCCTTGATGAACTCCCTCCAACACACACCTTCCCAGGAAAGCACCCTTTATCTTGCATGGGAAGGGGATCCCACCACACCAAAACCCAGCCAAAGAAGCCTTTTGTTCCTTAAGGGATAAGTTATCAAAACAAACACAAGCAAAAAGACACACAACTAGTCACCCCCTAAATTCTGTTAAGAATGAGACAATGCTGCCACTCACTCCTGGCTCAGGCACCAGCAGGAGGAGGACACCCTCCAGAAACTGCAGAAGAAAGGGGAGGACTCCTCCTTGCCCTGGCTGCACCTCCACCACTGTCACTGAGGCCTGCAGTACAGAACCAGCAGCTTCCTACACACCCCAGGCCAGGCCAGGCCCCAAAGCTCTCCTACTCCCCCTTCCCGGCCCCCAGACTTGCTGCTGTTACCACTATTACCGCCGATGCCAACACAACCAGTGCTTCTGTCACCTTCCATGCACCCACCCACCCTCCAGGGCTCCTTCCACCTGGCCTCCACGGGCACCCTCCTACCATTCCTGTCGAGCTGCAGTCTCCATCGCTGTCACTGCCACAACCACAGGAAGTGAGCCACAGAGCCACGCCATCTACAGGCTCCAACCTCCAGCTCACCACAGGTGACTCCTACTTCACCAGCCTGGCTTGGAACAGCTGGAGAGGAAAAGCCAGAAAAACCTACAACGGGATGCAGAAAGTGGTAGTGTTAAAGCCTCGCCTTGTCATGCTGGCCACTGGGTGGCAGCGGCCAGTTTCAGCAAAGGCATTCACACTCACCTGCCAAAGTCCAGCCTCTCCTCCTGGCCCAAGCTGGCCTCCTGACCTGGGGTGGGGACTGGAGACACCACAGTGCCCAACACTCCCTGGGGAGCAGGAACAGCAGAAACTCACACTCAGCCAGTACTCCCCACCCAAGTACTGGTTCCCATTCCTGACTCCTCCACCCACAGGCCCTGAGCCCCCGTGGTGCCCACTACTCCTGCTCCATGCCTGGAGGTCCCAGATGGTCTCCACAACATGGAGCGAGAGGGCAAGGGCTGGGGAACCACAGTGGGTGTGGGGGCCCTGCCATGCTTAGAGGATTGGCATGAAAACTCTGTGCGCCCGCCACACTCCCACACGAGCAGGAGGAGTTCTCTCTCTAGAGCCCTGAGTCTGAGAAAAGGAGAAGGTCCCCTTCCTCGGAGGCAACCGTTGTCCCGGCCACCTCCACAACCTGCCTCTGGTGGCAGCAGTGCAGACCCCGATAGCGCCCCTAACCTGGCCCCCGCTGCCGGCAATGCAGCCCCCGGATTGCACCCACAACACACCCAGAGACTACCGTAGTAGGCAATGTAACCCCAATAGTGCCCCCAAACCACCACTCTGCCCCCAGCAGTGTAGCATTTGATGGTGTCCACAGCCAATCCCGCTACCGGCATTGCAGCACCTGACAGCGCCCCAAACCAGCCCCCCACCAGGGCCACAGGCAGCACAGCCCTGGATAGCGCCCCCAACCTGCTCCCATCGTGGGCAGTGAATGCCCAGGATAGTGCACCCAACCAAACCCCCCACCCCACCTTCCCCTTTCCCCCTTCCCCCACAAGCACTGCAGCATTTGACAGCTCCCCTAAACCTCCCCCGACTGCCGGCCCACATTGTTGCTGGCATTGTAGCCCAGGATAGCACACCCAACCTGCCCCCTGCCTCTGGCAGTGCAGCAAATAACACCCCTAACCTGCCCCCATGAGCCGCTGGCTGTGCACAATAGCGCACACAACCTGCCTCCAACCCCTCGACCTTGGGCACTGTAGGCCCTGATAACTCAGCCAACCTGCCCCCCACCCCCACAGCAATGCAATGCCAGATAGCGCCCCCACCAGCCCCTCCCTACCCCTGCGGCAGGCACTGCAGCCTCAACAGCTTACCAAATATGCCTCCCCAACCCCCTGCAGGAGGGCAGTGCAGCCGCAAAGAGTGCACCTACCCGGCAAACTTTCTACCACTCTAACAGACCTGCAGTCTCGGTCGCCACCACCAACCGCAGCCAGAGGAGCCTCGGTGGCCAAGGCTCCAGCCTCCAGCGTGGAGCAGGGGGCCCCCCTTCTTCTAGACCGCTAGCCAGTCAAGAGCAGCTCCCGCTGCCATCCTCCCTTCTACCGCTCTGGCCGTGCTGCCTGCTGTCTCTGTCACCACTGCCAACTGTAGCGAGGCGAGCCACAGTGTTGCAGGCTCCAGCATCCAGCTCCCCCTTCTCTTGATCTGCTAAGCTAGGAACAGAGTAGCTCCGCCGGCCGATTTAGGAAAGCCTAGGATGGCGTGAGGCCTCCTCAGCATGCACATGGGGTTATGCACAAGGATTCTGAACTACATGTTCTGATTGGATGAGAGAAAACCTCTAGGCCTTCTCTGATTGGACTTTATTTCATACGCTGACTGGTTGTCCTAAGACTTGCTCTCATCCAATCAGAACATGCTAACAAAGTCCAATCAGAGTAGGCCTCTGCGTTTTCTCTTACCCAATCCTGGAACATGTAGTCCAGGAACCTCATATGCATAACCTCAGTATATAAATGGTGCTGAAGGGGTGTCAGGCCGTTCTAGGCTCATGCGTGTCTGCGCGCTGGGCTGCTCCGTTCCCGGCTTAGAGGACCAGGACAAGGGCTAGCCACCGCTGCATGCTGGAGGCTGTGGCTGCGGCACCACAGCTCGCCTCGCTGCGGTTGGTGGCAGCGACGGAGACTGCAGTGTGGCTGGAGCGGTAGGAAGGGGAAAATAGTTTTGGGGTAGATGGAGGAGTAAAGAGGGTGGTTAGTGCCAAAGGGAAAAGAGGATGGCGAGCAGGAGAAGGTGTTGCAAAAAAGACAGTGAGGAAAAGACGGTGGGGAAAAAATGTTGGGGGTAGGTGGAGGGGGAAAAACGGTGGTGAACAGGAGGGAGAGAAGGTTTTGCGGAAAGATGGTGGGGAAAAAGTTTTTGGGTAGATGGAAGGGGGAAAGAGAGGGTGGTGGGGGGAACGGGGGTGAGCAGGAGGGAGAGAAAGTTTGCAAAAATACAGTTGGGAAAAAAAGAAAGGGAAAGAAGAGGGTGGATAAAAAGATTTTGAGTAGATGGAGCGGGAAAAAGGGGTGGCAAGTGGGAGGAGAAAAGAGGGTGCAGAGAGGGAGGGGGAGGAGAGAGTGGCGAGCAGGAGGGAGAGAAGGTTTTGTGAAAAGGCAGTGAGGAGAGAAGCTTTTAAGTAGATGGAGGGGAAAAGAGGGTGGCAAGCGGGAGAAAGATAAAGAGGGTGGCGAGCAGGGAGAAAAGGTTTTGGGAAAAACCAGTGGGCAGAAAAGAAAGTGCAGAAAGAAAACACGGTGGGTAGAAAGTGGGTAGATGGAGGGGGAAAAGAGGGTGGCAAGTGAGAGGAGAATAGAAGGTGCCCAGGGGGAGTGGGGAGAGTTGGGAAAATGATGATAGGGAAAATAGTTTGGGGTAGATGGAGGGCAAAAAGAGGGTGGCAAACAGGATAGAGGAAAGAAGAGGGTGAGCGGGAAGCAGGGAAGGCCTTTGTGAAAAGACGGTGGGGGAAAATTGGGGAGGTAGATGGGTAAACGAGGGTGGTAAGGAGGAGTAGGAAGGCGGCTTTGCAAAAAGATGGCTGGGATGTTTTTGGGTAGATGGAGAAGGGAAAGAGGATGGCAAGGAGGAAAGAAGAAAAAGACGATGGGGAAACAGTTTTTGGGTAGATGGAGGGGGAAGGAGGGTGGCGAGCAGCAGGAGTGGAGAGAAGGCTTTGGGAAGAGATGGGAGAAAATGTATTTGGGGAGATGAAGGAACAAAAGAGGGTGATGAGAGCCGGAGGGGCAAAAAAGGGTGGCCAGGGAGAGGGAGAAAAGACGGTGGGGAAAAGGTTTTGGGTAGATGGGTGGGGAAAACTGTAGTGAGCGGGTGAGTAGAGAAGGCTTTGCGAAAAGATGGTGGGGGAAAAAGTTTTGGGGTAGATGGAGGAAGAAAAAGGGTGGCGAAAGAGAGGGGGCCAAAGGTCGTCGGGAAAAAAAGATGGGGAAATAATGGTGGGGGACAAAGGTTTTGAGTAGATCTTTTTCTGATTTTTAAATCAGATTATTTGTATTTTTGCTTTTGAGTAGCTTCAGTTCTTTATATGTTGTGTGTATTAACCCTTTGCCTGATGTATAGTTTGCAAATACTTCCATTGTCTGGTTTGTTTCTTCATTCTATTGATTGCTTCCTCTGCTTTGCAGAAGTTTTAAGTTTAATGTAATTGCATTTCTCTATTTTGGCTTTTGTTGCTTGTGCTTTTGATGTCTGTTTCAAAATCCCTTGTCCTAACCAATTCCATGAAGTATTTATCCTATGTCTTCTTCTCTAGTAGTTTCATAGTTTCAGGTTCTACATGTCAATCTTTGAGTAGATTTTTGTATATGGTAAGATAAAGATCTAAATTTATTCTCGTACGTGTGGGTGTTGTGTTTTCCTAGCGTTTACTGAAGAGATTGTCCTTCCCAAAGGTGTGTTCTTGGTGCCTTTGTTAAAAATGAGTTGACTGTAAATGCGTGAATTTATTTCTGAGTTCTCTACACTGTTTCATTTGTCTTTGTCTCTGTCATTCATCTATGTCTGTCTGTCTGTCTCTGTCTCTCCTTGCTCCTTTTTTCGCCAGTTCCATGGTATTTTGGTAGTATATTTTGAAACCAGGTATTGTGATGCCTCCAGCTTTTTTCTTTTTATTCAAGATTATTTTATCTGAGGTATTTTGCATTTCCATGTGAATTTTAGAATTTTTTTTCTATTTCTATGAAGAATGTGTTTTGTAATTTAACGTGGATTGCATTGATTCTGTAGCTCACATTGGGTGATACAGATATTTTACCAATATTCTTCTAGTGCTTGGACATGGGATATCTGTCCATTTACATGTGTCTGCTTTAATATTTTTCATCTATGTTTTATAATTTTGTTGTGGGATCTTTAACCTTTTTGGTTATCTCTAGGTATTTTTTTGGTGGTAGCAGTAATGAAATAGCTTTCTTGATTTCTTTCTTAGGTGTTTCACTATTGGCGCATGCGTGTGCTACTCATTTTTGTATATTGATATTGTGTCTAGTAACTTTACTATATTTATTGTTTCTAGTAGGTTTTGTTGTATAATCTCTAGGATTCTCTCCATATGTAAAAGATCATGTCACTTGCAAACAGAGACAATTTGAATTCCTTTTTTCCCATTTGGATGCTTTTTATTGCATTCTCCTGTCTAATTGCTCTAGCTCAGACTTCCAGTACTATGATGAATAAAAGTGGTAAAAGTAGCCACACTTGGGCCAGGCACAGTGGCTCATGCCTGTAATCCCAGCACTTTGGGAGGCCGAGGTGGGCGGATCACGAGGTCAGGAGATCAAGACCATCCTGGCTAACAGAGTGAAACCCCGTCTCTACTAAAAATACAAAAAAAAAAAAAAAAAAGCTGGGCGTGGTGGCAGGCGCCTGTAGTCCCAGCTACTCAGGAGGCTGAGGCAGGAGAATGGTGTGAACCTGGGAGGTAGAGCTTGCGGTGAGCTGAGATCACGCCACTGCACTCCAGCCTAGGTGACAGAGCAAGACTCCACCTCAAAAAAAAAAGTAGCCACACTTGTTCCAGATCTTAGAGGAAGAGTTTTTAACTTTTTCCCGTTGTTTATGATGTTAGCTGTGTTTTTGTCATATATGGCCTTTATTGTGCTGAGATATGTTTTTTTTCTGTACTCATTTTGTTGAATTTTTATTATGAAGGAATGTTTAATTTTTTTCAGCATCTACCGAAATGATTATATGGTTTTTTCTTTGATTCACTGAAAGTGGTGTAGCACATTTATTTATTTGTGTTTATTGAATCATCCTCATATTCCTGGGATGAATCCCACTTGATTATGGCAAATGATATTTTTATTGTCTTGTCAAATGCATTTTTCAAGTATTTTGCTGAGGATTTTTGCATCTGTGTTCATCAGGAGTGTTTCCCTGTGGTTTTCTTTTTGTGTTGTGTTTTGGTCTGCTTTTTGTACCAAGGTAATTCTGGCCTCATAGAACAAGTTTGGAAGCATTCCTTCCTCTTCATTCTTTGGGGGAATGTTTTGGTAAAATTGGTATTAGCTCTTTTAAAACATTTGGTTGAATTCAGCAGTAAAACCATGATTCTTGTGGGTTTCTTTGACGGGAGACTTTTTATTACTGCTTTAATTGCATTACTCATTATTGGTCTGTTCAGGTTTCTTATTTTTCTATCATTCTATCCACATCAGCCCAGGGATGCAGGGGAGGTCCCAGCAAGTGGCCACGCCAGCTGCTGCCCTTCTCCCCTGGCCATTGACACATCTGGTTCACCTCAGCATCCCTAGGTGTTACGAGGAGGGCAGAGTGTAGCCAGCCCTGGCCTGGGAATGCACCAACACGGGGTCCCTGGTGAGTCCAGAGCTGGGGCTGCAGCTAGAACTTCAGGGCAAGAGAGACCCCATGCCCTTCACTTCCTGGTCCCGGTCCTGAGGTTCCAGGAGTGGGATCAGAGTGGGCACCCGTGAGAAGCTGGTGGCATGGGAGGGCTGTGCGTTCTGCTGAGGCACCGTGTCCCCACTGCTGTGCTGTCTGACAGGCCCCTGTCTCTCTTCTTGCTCCTGGGTGATAGCTGTGGTCATGGACATGTTCACCCATGTGGACATCTTCAAAGACCTGCTGGATGCCGGCTTCAAGAGGAAAGCAGATTTGTACATCATCGTGGACGGGAGTAAAGTCAAGTACGTTCTGCATATGTGTGAGCAGACCCGCATGCACCTGGGGCACCTCAAGGTGAGCAGGCTCCTCACTTGCCTACGTGGCCAGATGGCAGGGGTCATTCAGTTTGTCAAACACCTCGAGTACCTGCCTGCTCTGGACGGAGTCCTGTGCCAGGCACTCAGAGTCCAGTAATCCTAGAGCCTCTGCTTGAATTCCCTGAGGGACAGGATACTTGCCATGTCTGATGGGACAGAGATAAGATAAACATTGATGAGGTGCTTGCTGACCAGGTGCTGGAGCTCATGCCAAGTGCTGCATCATATGTTATTTCAGAGCAGCCCATGCCACATTGGTTACCTGTCTGCTTGCATACCCCTGGTCATAGTGTGCTCACTATGTCCTCAGGTAGCTCGTGGCCTATCTGGAGAGATTCAGTTCCCAGGAAGTCTTTCTTGGGTTAAGCCAAAACCTGTCTCCTTAGAATGTCCATTTACTGGTTTTAGGATCTGGCTCAGACAGAAGCAGCTCTCCCTCAGGCTGAGGCCAGGGAAGGCTTCCTTGATGTCTGCACAGTTGAAGTGGATTTGAGGCACATGAGCAGAGTAGAACCTTTAGGGTGGGGAGAAACCACGGAACAGAGGTGGATCAGAGACGGCTGCCAGTGGGGTCAAGGTGGGCTGCAGGTCCCCAGTGCTGCTTTTCTGTGTGTCCCTGGGCATGTCACCTCCCCTTTCTGGGCTATACAACATCTCATTGCTCCAACTCTGTTCTACCCAGACACCCTGGCATTTGGTGTCTGGCTAATTTTTTTTTTTTTTTTTTTTTGAGACCGAGTCTTGCTCTGTCACCTAGGTTGGAGTGCAGTGGTGCGATCTCGGCTCACTGCAACCGCTGCCTCCTGGGTTCAAGCAATTCTCCTGCCCCAGCCTCCCAAGCAGCTGGGACTACAGGCGCGCACCACTACGCCCAACTACTTTTTGTATTTTCTGTAGATACGAGGTTTCACCATATTGGCCAGGCTGGTCTCAAGCTCTGGACCTCGTGATCCACTTGCCTCGGCCTCCCAAAGTGCTGGGATTACAAGCGTGAGCCACCGCACCCAGCTAGTGTCTGGCTAATTTTTTTGTATTTTTAGTAGAGACAAGAGTTTCACCATGTTGGGCAGGCTGGTTTCGAACTCCTGACCTTGTGATCCATCCACCTTGGTCTCTGAAAGTGCTGGGATTACAGGTGTAAGCCACTGTGCCCAGCCAATAAAAGCCAGTTTTAAAACTGAAAAAACAGCTTTGAAATTGAGGGCTGCATTTTTACAGAGAATATTTTCCAGCATGTGCAATCTAACATAGTAGCACTATACTCCTCACTTAAACAGACTAGCTTTTATAATGAATGATTTTGTTTTAAAATGTGAGTAACAGCACACCAGGGGCTGTGACAGCATGATCGCTTCTGTTAACATCTCTTTCTAATACCGTAGTCCCACGTAAGCTGCATTTGGCTTTCACGGTTTCACTTACCTACAGGCAATCCTGGTCTGAAAACATTAAATGAAAAATCCACAGATAAACAACTGACAAGTTTTAACTTGCTGTGCTGTTCCAAGTAGTGTGGTGGGAGCTCCTGTCATCCCCCTCTACTCAAGGCCCACCCAGGACGTGAATCATCTCTGCCCACAACATCTACCTGTCTACCTTCCCACTTGTTAGTCACTTAGCAGCTCTCTGAGTCGTCAAATCCTCTGTTGAGATATCACAGTGTTTGTGTTCAAAGAAATCTTGTTTTACTTAATGGCCCCAAAGTGCAAAAGTACTGATGCTGGCAATTCAAAAATGCCAAAGAGAAGCCATAAAGTGTTCCTTTTAAGTGAAAAGGTGAAAGTTAATCATAGGGCATGCATGTGTAGAAACAAAGATAATCTATATTGGATTTAGTACTATCTGTGGTTTCAGGCATCCTCTGAAGATCTTGAAATGTATCCCCTATGGATAAAGGAGGACTACTATATTCTCAATGGATTTTGCAAGAAGAAAATTAATCATTCACAAAATATTTTAACCTTAGAATTTAAATAAATGTGTATATTCTCTACAAGTTAAACACAAATATTGTAATAACCTATGGCCACTTTTTCTTATTTTTATGCCATTTGAGTAATGACTGGTATTGATTTGCTGAGGTTCAAATTTCGAATTCTAGTTTTTCTTAAACATGACTTATATTAATAAGAATATGTTCAACTCTGGTGTGCTTTATCAGTCAAAAACACAAATTAATTATGCAGAGAATATTATTTTCTTTTTTGAGATGGAGTCTCCCTCTGTCGCCCCGGCTGGAGTGCAGTAGCGCAATCTTGGCTCACTGCAAACTCCACCTCCCGGATTCAAGTGATTCTACTGCCTCAGCCACCCAGGTAGCTGGGATTACAGGCATGCCCCACAATGCCTGGCTAACTTTTCTATTTTTATAAAATCTAAAACCTGGGACCTGGTATAAGGCCTGGGTATCCACCCGGGGCTTGATTTTAGCAGGGGCCTGAAGTTCTTCTAGCACCTGGTGTCCACCTGAGGCCTGGGTGTCAGCCTGGGACCAGATGTCCAGCTGGGGCCTGAGTGTTTCTCGGTGCCTGAGGACTTTCTGGGCCCGGATGTCCACGTGGGACCTAGATGTGTACCTGGGGTCTAATGTTCACCAGGAGCCAAGGTATCTACCTGGGGCCTATGTCCACCCAGAGCCTGATATCCATTTGGAGTCAAGTGTCCACCTGGGGCCCAGGTGTCCTTCAGGAGCCTGGTTTTGACCTGGGGCCTCAGTGGACACTTGGGGCCTGATGTCCACCCGGTTCCTAGGTATCCTCCTGAGGCCTGGTGTGCTGCTGAGGCCTGGTTTCGGCCTGGTTTGTACCTGGGGTATGGGTATCCACCTGGTTACTGTTGCTTACCTAAGACCTGTTGTCCACCTTGGACCTCTTGATCCTCTGGGGCCTTGTGTCCACCTGTGCCCGGGTGTCAGCTTGGTACCTGATATCCACTTGGGGCCTCCACAGCCACCTGGGGCCTTGTGGTCCCTTGAAGCCTGAAGCCCTGGGTATAGGTATCCACCTGGGTCCTGGGTGTCCACTTGGGGCCACATGTCCAGCTCTGGTCTGAGTGTCCCCATGGGGCCTGATACGCACCAGGGGCCTAGGCATGTACTTGATGCCTGGTGTCCATATGGAGCGTGCTGTCCCATGAGGATTGATACTCAGATGGGGCCTGGTATCCACTTCGGGCCTATTGTACTCCTGGAGTCTGATACACATCCTGTGCCTGCTGCCTACATAGGGCCTCATGCTCCCCTTGAGCCTGGATGTCCACCTGAGTCCTTGGTATTCTCTGTGGGATGGCTGTCCACCTGTGACTTTGTGTCCAGCTGTGGCCTGGGTGTGAGCCTGGTGCTTGATGGACACCTTGAGTCCGTGTGCACCTGGGGCCTTATGTCTATCTGGGGACTAGTGTCTACTTGGAGCTGATGTCTATATAGGGACCGTGTGCTTATCCAGGACCCGATGTCCATCTGGAATCAGATGTTCCCTTGGGGTCAGGGTGTCCGTCTGGGGCCTAATTCTCACCAGGGACCTGCTGTTCACCAGGAGCCTAGGCATCCACCTGTGGCCTGCTGTCCACTTGGGGCCCCCTGTTCACCTTGGCCCTGATACTTACTTGGGGCCTGGACATCCACTTGGAGCCTGGGGTTCAAGTGGCGCCTGGTGTTCCTCCAAGATGCCTGATGTCCATCTGTGGCCAGGTTTCCACCTGGGGCCTGGTACGTAGCTGGGGCCTCGGGTCCACCTGGGGCCTGGTATTTACCTGAGGCCTGGGCGTTCACCTGGGGCCTGATGTCTAGCTGGGGCCTCATATCCACCTGGGGCCTCCATGCCAAACTGCGACCTGATGTCCAGCGGAGGCCTGATGTCCATGCAGGAACTGGAGTCCCTCTGGGACCTGTTGTCCACCCGGGGCCTGGTGTCCAACGTCCACCTTGAGTCCAGTGTGCACTTGGGGCCCGACGTTTTCCTGGGGCCTTTGTGTCCGCTGGGGCCTTATGCCCACCTGGAGGGGGTGTGTCCCACGCACCCGCCCTTGTCCTGGGGAGAGTGTGTAGAGAGTTGCTCTGGCCCTGCCCCTTGTCATCTGGGAATTGCCCCTCCTGCCAACGCGGTGGGGAAGGTGTCATCTTGACTCAGGTGGGTGCTGGGTTTCAAACTGGGGCCTTATATTTACCTGGGGACTGCTGTCCATGTGGGGCCTGGTGTCCACGTAGGTGCTGGGTATTCACCTGGAGCCTCACGTCCACCTGGGGTCAAAAGTGTTCACCTGGGGCCCGATGTTACCTAGCACAGGCGTTGCACAGAATACACACAGACTGGAAAGGAAGAAGGAATGGAAACGTGGGACCTACGTATTCAGTATAAGAAAAGTGAAAATAGCAACCAGGAAAGAACACAAAGAAAGTACGAGAAGGATGGTATGAAGAAGACACAAACCAACCTAGGCCCAGTTTCCTAAGAAACACTGGAAACCACACTGAAATGAAATGTCAGACGGAATCAAGCCATCTCTGGATTTTCCCCTGTGGGCCGCTCAGTGTCAGCGGGGATGGGAGCAACTGTGGGCCGCTCAGTGTCAGCGGGGATGGGAGCAACTGGGACTCTCCTACATCACTCTTAGGGCTAGAAATTGCTAAGGCCGCCCCGAAAACATCCTACTCACTTTTCAGAAAATCACAACTTGCAAAGTACAGCAAAACCAAGGAAGGCCAAGAGCTTACCTTGGAGAAAGTTCTCGCAGCCCTGGGCGCCACCGGCTGGCTGGTTCTGGGGCTGCTTTGCCAGCAGGCAGCCTTTTCTCAGCTGCCTTTCTTCGCATCAGGTGGCGGCGGCTGATGGCCCGTGTGGCCTTTGCCCTTGAGGATTAGCCCAGCAGGTTGACTTAGGCCTGGAGCAGCGGTAAGGGCAGCGTTCTCTGGCGCTGCCCTTTTCCTGTTGGCAGCAGGATGGGGCGAAGCTCCAGGGCCCCAATTCCAGCACCTGATTTGGAAGCATCCAGCGGCCTGTGGCACGACGGCGGTGGAGGCGAGCCTGAGCGACTGCAGCTGCATCTCTGTTCCCAGTGCCATCTCCAGATCTTCATGCCCTGAGCAGTGACCTGGGCCAAGAAGTCACTTTCCTGGATGGTGTCTTCAGGAGGGCATGTTCCTGAACCGTGAGGGGTGGGTGTTCAGCAACTCTCCACAAACTTTTCCCAGGAATTGGGCGAGGTGCATTGTGCCACAGCCCTTTTTGGGTAGGCATAAGGCCCCACGTGGACACCCAGGCCTCAGTCAATATTCAGGAGCAAAGTGGAGACCTAGGCTCCAGGCAAACATCAGGCCTCAAGTGGACAGTCCCAGGTGAACATTGGACATCCAACACCAGATTGACGCTATGTCTTAGGTGTATGCCAGTTCCCAGGTGGACTCCAGTTTCCAAATGGACATCAGGCACCAGGCGGACATCAGGTTCCCAGTTGACAAATAGGTTCCAGATGGACAACAGGCCCCAGGTGATGCCTAGGCCCCACGTTGACACCTGGGCCCCAGGTAGACATGAGGCCCCACGTGGATAGTTATGTTCCTGGTGAACATTAGGCCCCAAATGGACACTCTGGTTCCAGGTGGATATATGGCCTCAGGGGGCCATCGGGTCCCGGGTGCGCACTGGACTTGACGTATACATCAGGCACGAGGTTTACACCCAGGCCCCAGGTGCACTGAATGTCACAGATGGACTTCAGGCCCAAGGAGGATACCAAGGCTTCAGGCGGACACCCAGGCCTCACGTGGATATCAGGTCTTAGGTGAAACTCAGGCTCTAGTTGGATACCGAGTCTTCAAGTGGACATAACAATGCCCCAGGTGGAACCCAGGCTTTAGATGGATACCAGGCTCCAGGTGGACATTAGGCCCCAGGGTGACACCAAGGCTCCACGTGGACAGTAAGCCCCAGGTGAACCCCAGACCTCAGGTGGACATCAGGCCCTAATGGATGCCCACACTGCAGGTTGACATCAGGCCTCAGGAGGGCACCAGCCCTCAAGTGACCACCAGGTCCCAGGTGGCTGTGTAGGTCCCAGGTGGATATCAGGCATCAGGATGACTCTCAGGGCCCAGGTGAATGCCAGGCCACAGATGAACAGCAGGTCCAAGGGGTGGACACAGGCCCCCGGTGAACACAAGTTCCCAGATGTATACCCAGCCTGATGTGCACCTGCAGACCAGAGTTCGCCTAGGGTCTGATTTCTCCCTGGGGCCTGGGTGTTTTCCTGGGACCTATAACCTGCCTGGGGTCTGGTGTTTACCTAGGGATGGGTATCCACCCTGGGTCTGATGTCCGCCTGGGGCCTGGTATCCATCTGGGGCCTGGGTGTCACCCTGGGGCCTTCTGTTGATCTAGGGCCCGATTTCCATCCTGAGACTGGGTGTCCACCTGGAGTCTGTGTCCCCATGTGACTTGGTGTCCAACTGGGACATTGGACACCGGTAAACACCAGGCCCCGTGTGGATTACTGTGGTACACCTGATGTACAGCTTGAATCCAGTGTCCACTTGGTCCTGATGGCTACCTTAGGCCTGTTGTTCACCTGGGGCCAGGCGTTGTGCTGGGCCCTAATGTCCACTAGGAGCCTGGTGTTTACCAGGGGGTCTCGACTCCCACCTGGGGCCTGGGTGTTTCCATGGGATCTGATACCCTTCTGTGGCTTTGGTTTCCATCTGTGGCCTGATGTTCACCTGGCATCTAGGTACCCATGTGAGGCCTGGTGTCACCCTGGGACCTGACGTTCACCTGGAGCCTGGTGTCAACTTGGGGCATGGGTGTTCACCTGGGGCCTAGTAGTTTACATGTGCCTTCATGTTTACTGAGTTCTTAAGTGTCAACTTGTGTCTTGATTTCTACCATGAGCCTGGTGTCCACCTGGAGCCTGGGTGTCACCCTAGGGCCTGAAGTCCTGGGGACTAGCTGTCCAATTGGAGCCTAGGTATCCACCTGGGTCTGAATTTCGCCTGGGGTCTGATGTCCATTTGGAGTGAAGTTTTCACTTGAGTCCTCATGTAAACCTGGGGCCTGGGTGTCAACCTTGAGCCTGATGTTCACCTGTGGTCCTGTGTCCACATTGGGACTGATTATTCACCTGGTGCCACGTGTGCACGTGGGGCCTGAGGGTTTACCTGGCTCATGCCCACCTGGGACCTTATGAGTTCCTGGGGCCTAGGTATACTCCCTAGGCCAGGTGCCCACCTGGGTTCTCATATCCACGTTGGGCTTTGTGTTCACTTGAGGCGTGGTATTCTTCTGGGGGTGGGTGTTCACCTGCGACCTCATACCTACTTGGGGCTTGGGTATCCTCCTGGGGCCTGATATTCCCCTATGACCTGGGGTGCAACTGGGGCCTGGGTGTCAGCCTGGCAGCTGAGTTCAGTGTCCACTTGGGGCCTGGTATTTAGCTGAGGCCTGACACCCACCTGAGGCCTGGGTGTTTAGGTGTGGTCTGTTATCTTTCTGTTGCCTGGGTTTTTATCAGGAGCCTGATGTTCACCAGGCCACCTAGGTGTCCACCTGGACCAAATGTCTCTCTGGGCCCTGATGTTCACTTGTTGTCTGGTATTTACCAAGGCTTGGGCATCCACCTGTTGACTGATGTTCAGCTGGGGCATAGATATTCACATGGGGCCCGAGGGTACACCTGGTGCCTGACGTCTGCCCGGGTCCTAGTAATCCACATGGGCCTGGTGTTTACCAGAAGCCTAATGTTCACCCTGGGCCTCATGTTTACCTGGAGCCTTGGTGTCAACCTGGGGCCAGATATCGACTGGGGGCCTAGTATCCACCTGGAGATGGGATGTCCAGCTGGGTTCTGATGTCCACCTAGGATTGTCCTCATGTGTGGTGGATGAAATTTAGGGCCTGGTGGTGAAATTTAAAACAGAGCCTTAAAAGCTATCGAGCCAAGTGAAGCAAGCAGAGGAAGGTCATTCCATTCCGGCAATGAGAAGAATGTGAGCCCAGTGATGGAGCCATGAACAGCTCAGTATGTGTTGGGATCTGCAAGAGGGAGGTAAGTTGTGGGTGCACTGGAATACCAGACCAGGGACGGGAGGATGCTTTTCAAGCTGCCTTTCGCTTTTTCCTCGAATGTCATAGGAAGTCAGACTTATTCTTTGTAGGTCAGAGTTGAGTGTTACCTAATATCAACGTTTGCAGGAAATGAAGTGGAAACACTTTTCTTAGATAGAAGAGATAGCACTTGCAAAAATTTAGAAATGTGAGGGAACATAAATTGGAAATAATTTTGTTTTTAAAACAAGTAGTTAATAATACTTTACTTTCTATTTATTTATTTATTTATTTATTTTTTGGAGACAGTCTTGCTCTGTCGCCCATGCTGGAATGCAGTGTTGTGATCTTGGTTCACTGCAACCCCTACCTCCCAGGTTCAAGCCATTCTCTGCCTCAGCCTCCTGGGTAGCTGGGATTACAGGCACACACCACCGAGCCTGGCTAATTTTTTTGTATTTTTAGTAGAGACACGGGGTCTTGCCACACTGCCCAGGCTGGTCTCAAATTCCAGAGCACAATGTGATCCTCCCACCTTGGCCTCCCAAAGTGCTGGGATTACAGCCAGGAGTCACTGCACCCAGCCAGGATGTTTATTTTTTAACCTTCTATTTGTCTGATGTCTGGGCTCTATGGGGAGTGGCAAGGGAAAGTGATATACACTTAATGACACAGAGGAGACTTTGACCTAAATGGTGAGACCCTGAAGTGTGAATGCTTTGGAGGAGAATATAGATCAGAAGTTTATGATCAAAGTAATTATTTACAAATAGATATTTTCCATTACTTTATTTTTAATTTACAGTTCTATATAACATTGGAAGTAATATTCTTTATGTACAACTACAATAGATTTTATCCTTTTTCTAATACTTCTGTTCTAGTTACAGAACCATGAATGACCTCTTTGATAACTGGAATGAAAATGTTGTAGCTGCTTATAAGATTTTTTAAAGATAATTCTTTACGACAGCCTTGGGGGGGTGCATGTTGGTGTGAGAGAGGAGTAAGTTAAGGGGATGATATGAATATCAAAGGGAAACTAATGAATAAAGAAGTCCAACCTTAAGATTAGTTTCAGCAGAAGTAATTTTCCACCAAAATTTCAGATTACCTTTTCACTTATATAGGAGTGTGATTAATTAGGGAAGACATTTGTAACACTTGCACTTTTAAAACCATATTTATTATGCAGCATTGCAAAGCAGTCTTTTCTTCCACAGCCCCCAGTCCCAGAACAAAAAAAGTATGGGGGAAAGTACCTCAGAAAACCCAGTCACAATATGCTATATTTGAAAATAGCCATTTTGTGGAGACCTTAGCAGAAATTTGGCCTTGAAGTCATCTGGGGGCATTTTAAAATTCTTACCTGTGTTAGATTCACTAGTTTAGATGTTGATACCATACTACCATAGCCATGCATGTAATGGTGGTAAGCTTTAAGGTTGAATATAGTATATTTACCAGAATTTACCTAGATTTGGCTGATCTTTGAGGAAATGTTTAGATGACGCCAGTTATGATTTCACCCTGTGCTAAAGAACATGTATATGTTTTTGCCATAGGTGTGTTTTCTTTACATTATTTATACAAATAATTTTCTATAATATCTGGGAGCAAACTGGGGAATTTGGCAGTCCAATTGGCAGGTCCCCTCAGATACCCACGGGCTGACGGCATTGGTACCAAGTGACCAGGTTCACAGTGCAGCTTGTGGCTCCAGTCCAACTGGCAGGTGGCTCTTCCTCCACGTCCCAGCTGCCATTTTCATAAAACAATCCGTGGTGTCCCGCTCGGAGACTGGGTTCCTGGCTCTCCCACTCGCATTGCTGTAGCAAGAGATCCATAGAACATATTTTAAAATGTTACTTGCTATTTGCTTAAATGTAGACTTTTCTAGGCTATTTCTTTTCCTTACTCCATTACTGAACAACTCCCTTACTTCCTCCTCCCCCCCAGTATCACTCCCAAGTAAGGGATTGGTTTTAGTCCCAGAACTGAAGTACCCTGAGCTCCATTCGAAGCAGTACTCTACAGAGACCCACATTTTCTTTATATTTTGAATTTAACAAGTTTAGTGAGTAGTTATTTTTGCTGAATTTATGGACCCTTTGTTTTAGATTTGCAAGACAAGAAAAACTTTTACAGACTTCTTACTTAATGTTTTATTATAATGCAGACCTGTACAGTGTTGTATGCTGAAGATACTGGAATGCCTGTGTGCTCTTCTACCGGAGAGTGTCTGATCAGAACTCTTCAGTATGACCAAAGAAACTCAAGTTAGCATTGTCCTGCAGGAAGCTGAGGATCTCTCTCTCTCTAAGTTTTTCTTCTGTATAATTTCTTCTGTGTGCTTTGAGTAGATATAGTGTGATCTTTAAAAAGATCAGGCAAGGCTAGGTGCCGTGGCTCATGCCTGTAATCCCAGAACTTTAGGAGGCCAAGGTGGGCAGATCATCAGGTCAGGAGGTCGAGATTGTCCTGGCCAACATGGTGAAACCCCGTCTCTACTAAAAAATACAAAAAAATTAGCCAGGCATGGTGGTGCACGCCTGTAGTCCCAGCTACTTGGGAGGCTGAGGCAGTGGAACTGGAGGTTGCAGTGAGCCGAAATTGTGCCACTGCACTCCAGCCTGGCAACAAAGCGAGACTCTGTCTCAAAAAACAAAACAAAACAAAAAACAAGGCAGTTCCTCAGAGAGTGGATCCAGGGTCAGAACGAAGAACTTTGTACATGGACACAACAAAATCTTTATAATATCTGACCTACAGAATTCCACTATTGCAATGGATCAGTGACTTCTGTGTTTTTTTCCCATCTTCTATTTTCCAAATGAAAAATTTTACTGGGACTGGGAGGGTTCCAACATAGCCGAATAGGAACAGCTCCAGTCTACAGCTACTAGCATGAGAGAAGCAGAAGACGGGTGACTTCTGCATTTCCAGCTGAGGTACCGGGTTCATCTCACTGGGGCTTGTCGGACAGTGGATGCAGGACAGTGGGTGCAGTGCACTGAGTGTGAGCTGAAGCAGGGCGACGCAACACCTCGCCTGGGAAGCGGGAGGGGTCAGGGAATTCCCTTCCCTAGCCAAGCAAAGCTGTGACAGATGGCACCTGGAAAATCAGGTCACTCCCACCCTAATACTGCACTGTTCCAACACCCTTAGCAAACGGCACACCAGGAGATCATATCCCGCGCTTGGCTCAGAGGGTCCTACACCCACGGAGACTCACTCATTGCTAGCACAGCAGTCTGAGATCAAACTGCAAGGCGGCAGCGAGGCTGGGGGAGGGGCGCCTGCCATTGCTGAGGCTTGAGCAGGTAAACAAAGCATCTGGGAAGCACGAACTGGGTGGAGCCCACCACAGCTCAATGAGGCCTGCCTGCCTCTGTAGACTCCACCTCTGGGGGCAGGACATAGCCAAACAAAAGGCAGCAGAAACCTCTGCAGACTTAAATGTCCCTGTCTGACAGCTTTGAAGACAGCAGTGGTTCTCCCAGCACGCAGTTTGAGATCTGAGAACGGACAGACTGCCTCCTCAAGTGGGTCCCTGACCCCCGAGTAGCCTAACTGGGAGGCACCCCCAAGTAGGGGCAGACTGACACCTCACACAGCCAGGTACCCCTCTAAGACGAAACTTCCAGAGGAACGATCAAACAGCAACATTTGCTGTTCAGCAATATTTGCTGTTCTGCAGCCTCCACTGCTGATAACCAGGCAAACGGTCTGGAGTGGACCTCCAGCAAACTCCAACAGACTTGCAGCTGAGGGTCCTGACTGTTAGAAGGAAAACTAAAAAACAGAAAGGACATCCACACCCAAACCCCATCTGTACGACACCATCATCAAAGACCAAAGGTAGATAAAACCACAAAGATGGGGGAAAAACAGCAGAAAAACTGAAATTCTAAAAATCAGAGCACCTCTCCTCCTCCAAAGGAATGCAGCTCCTCACCAGCAATGGAACAAAGCTGGATGGAGGATGACTATGACGAGTTGAGAGAAGAAGGCTTCAGATGATCAAACTTCTCCAAGCTAAAGGAGGAAGTGCAAACCCATCACAAAGAAGTTAAAAACCTTGAACGAAGATTCAGACGAATGGCTAACTAGAATAACCAATGTAGAGAAGGCCTTAAATGACCTGATGGAGCTGAAAACCATGGCATGAGAACTACGTGACATATGCAAAAGCTTCAGTAGCCGATTTGATCAACTGGAAGAAAGGGTATCACTGATGGAAGATCAAATGAATGAAATGAAGCGAGAAGAGAAGTTTAGAGAAAAAAGAATAAAAAGAAACAAACAAAGCCTCCAAGAAATATGGGACTATGTGAAAAGACCAAATCTATGTCTGATTGGTGTACCTGAAAGTGACGGGGAGAATGGAACCAAGTTGGAAAACACTCTGCAGGATATTATCCAGGAGAACTTCCCCAATCTAGCAAGGCAGGCCAACATTCAAATTCAGGAAATACAGAGAATGCCACAAAGATACTCCTCGAGAAGAGTAACTCCAAGACACATAATTGTCAGATTCACCAAAGCTGAAATGAAGGAAAAAATGTTAAGGGCAGCCAGAGAGAAAGGTCAGGTTACTCACAAAGGGAAGCCCATCAGACTAACAGCTGGTCTCTCGGCAGAAACTCTACAAGCCAGAAGAGAGTGGGGGCCAATATTCAACATTCTTAAAGAAAAGAATTTTCAACCCAGAATTTCATATCCAGCCAAACTAAGCTTCATAAGTGAAGGAGAAATAAAATCCTTTACAGACAAGCAAATGCTGAGAGATTTTGTCACCACCAGGCCTGCCCTACAAGAGCTCCTGAAGGAAGCACTAAACATGGAAAGGAACAACCGGTACCAGCCACTGCAAAACCATGCCAAATTGTAAAGACCATCAAGGCTAGGAAGAAACTGCGTCAACTAACGAGCAAAATAACCAGCTAACATCATAACGACAGGATCAAATTCACACATAACAATATTAACCTTAAATGTAAATGGGCTAAATGCTCCAATTAAAAGACACAGACTGGCAAATTGGATAAAGAGTCAAGACCCATCAGTGTGCTATATTCAGGAAACCCATCTCACGTGCAGAGACACACATAGGCTCAGAATAAAGGGATGGAGGAAGATCTACCAAGCAAATGGAAAACAAAAAAAGGCAGGGGTTGCAATCCTAATCTCTGATAAAACAGACTTTAAACCAACAAAGATCAAAATAGACAAAGAAGGCCATTACATAATGGTAAAGGGATCAATTCAACAAGAACAGCTAACTAACCTAAATATATATGCACCCAATACAGGAGCCCCCAGATTCATAAAGCAAGTCCTTAGAGACCTACAAAGAGACTTAGACTCCCACACAATAATAATGGGAGACTGTAACACCCCACTGTCAACATTAGACAGATCCACGAGACAGAAAGTTAACAAGGATATCCAGGAATTGAACTCAGCTCTGCACCAAGCAGACCTAATAGACATCTACAGAACTCTCCACCCCAAATCAACAGAATATACGTTCTTCTCAGCACCACATTGCACTTATTCCAAAATTGACCACATAGTTGGAAGTAAAGCACTCCTCAGCAAATGTAAAAGAACAGAAATTATAACAAACTGTCTCTTAGACCACAGTGCAATCAAACTAGAACTCAGGATTAAGAAACTCACTCAAAACCACTCAACTACATGGAAACTGAACAACCTGCTCCTGAATGACTACTGGCTACATAACAAAATGAAGGCAGAAATAAAGATCTTCTTTGAAACCAACGAGAACAAAGACACAACATACCAGAATCTCTGGGACACATTTAAAGCAGTGTGTTAGAGGGAAATTTATAGCACTAAATGCCCACAAGAGAAAGCAGGAAAGATCTAAAATTAACACCCTAACATCACAATTAAAAGAACTACAGAAGCAAGAGGAAACACATTCAAAAGCTAGCAGAAGGTGAGAAATAACTAAGATCAGAGCAGAACTGAAGGAAACAGAGACACAAAAAGCCCTTCAAAAAATCAATGAATCCAGGAGCTGGTTTTTTGAAAAGATCAACAAAATTGATAGACTGCTAGCAAGACTAACAAGAAAAGAGATAAGAATCAAATAGAGGCAATAAAAAATGATAAAGGGGAGATCACCACCGATCCCACAGAAATACAAACTACCATCAGAGAATACTATAAACACTGCTACACAAACAAACTAGAAAATCTAGAAATGGATAAAGTCCTTGATACATACAACCTCACAAGACTAAACCAGGAGGAAGTTGAATATCTGAACAGACCAACAGGCTCTGAAATTGAGGCAATAATTAATAGCTTACCAACCAAAAAAAGTCCAGGACCAGACGGATTCACAGCTGAATTCTACCAGAGGTACAAGGAGGAGCTGGTACCATTCCTTCTGAAACTATTCCAATCAATAGAAAAAGAGAGAATCCTCCCTAATTCATTTTATGAGGCCAGCATCATCCTGATACCAAAGCCTGGCAGAGACACAACAAAAAAAGAGAATTTTAGACCCATATCCCTGATGAACATCGATGCAGAAATCCTCAATAAAATACTGGCAAACCGAATCCAGCAGCACATCAAAAAGCTTATCCAACACGATCAAGTGGGCTTCATCCCTGGGATGCAAGGCTGGTTCAACATACGCAAATCAATAAATGTAATCCAGCATATAAACAGAACCAAAGACAAAAACCACATGATTATCTCAATAGATGCAGAAAAGGCCTTTGGCAAAATTCAACAGCCCTTCATGCTAAAAACTCTCAATAAATTAGTTATTGATGGGACGTATCTCAAAATAATAAGAGCTATGTATGACAAACCCACAGCCAATATCATACTGAATGGGCAAAAACTGGAAGCATTCCCTTTGAAAACTGGCACAAGACAGGGATGCCCTCTCTCACCACTCCTCTTCAACATAGTGTTGGAAGTTCTGGCCAGGGCAATCAGGCAGGAGAAGGAAATAAAGGGTATTCAATTAGGAAAAGAGGAAGTCAAATTGTCCCTGTTTGCAAATGACATGATTGTATAGCTAGAAAACCCCATCGTCTCAGCCCAAAATCTCCTTAAGCTGATAAGTAACTCCAGCAAAGTCTCAGGATTCAAAATCAATGTACAAAAATCACAAGCATTCTTATACACCAATAACAGACAAACAGAGAGCCAAATCATGAGTGAACTCCCATTCACAGTTGCTTCAAAGGGAATAAAATACCTAGGAATCCAACTTCCAAGGGATGTGAAGGATCTCCTCAAGGAGAACTACAAACCACTGCTCAATGAAATAAAAGAGGATACGAACAAATGGAAGAACATTCCATGCTCATGGGTAGAAAGAATCAATATCATGAAAATGGCCATACTGCCCAAGGTAATTTATAGATTCAATGCCATCCCCATCAAGCTACCAATGACTTTCTTCACTGAATTGGAAAAAACTACTTTAAAGTTCATATGGAACCAAAAAAGAGCCCGCATTGCCAAGTCAATCCTAAGCCAAAAGAACAAAGCTGGAGGCATCACGCTTCCTGACTTCAAACTATACTACAAGGCTACAGTAACCAAAACGGCATGGTACTGGTACCAAAACAGAGATATAGACCAATGGAACAGAACAGAGCCCTCAGAAATAATGCCACATATCTACAACTATCTGATCTTTGACAAACCTGACAAAAACAAGAAATGGGGAAAGGATTCCCTATATAATAAATGGTGCTGGGAAAACTGGCTAGGCATATGTAGAAAGCTGAAACTGGATCCCTTCCTTACACCTTTTACAAAAATTAATTCAAGATGCATTAAAGACTTAAATGTTAGACCTAAAACCATAAAAACCCTAGAAGAAAACCTAGGCAATACCATTCAGGACATAGGCATGGGCAAGGACTTCCTGTCTAAAACACCAAAAGCAATGGCAACAAAAGCCAAAATTGACAAATGGGATCTAATTGAACTAAAGAGCTCCTTCTGCACAGCAAAAAAACTACCATCAGAGTGAACAGGCAACCTACAGAATGGGAGAAAATTTTTGCAATCTACTCACCTGACTAAAGGGCTGATACCCAGAATCTACAAAGAACTCAAACAAATTTACAAGAAAAAAATCAAACAACCCCATCAAAAAGTAGGCGAAGGATATGAACAGACACTTCTCAAAAGAAGACATTTATGCAGCCAACAGACACATGAAAAAATGCTCATCATCACTGGCCATCAGAGAAATGCAAATCAAAACCACAATGACATACCATCTTACACCAGTTAGAATGGTGATCATTAAAAAGTCAGGAAACGACAGGTGCTGGAGAGGATGTGGAGAAATAGGAACACTTACACTGTTGGTGGGACTGTAAACTAGTTCAACCATTGTGGAAGAGAGAGTGGCGATTCCTCAGGGATCTAGAACTAGAAATACCATTTGACCCAGCCATCCCATTACTGAGTATATACCCAGAGGATTATAAGTCATGTTGCTATAAAGACATGCACACGTATGTTTATTGTGGCACTATTCACAATAGCAAAGACTTGGAACCAACCCAAATGTCCAACAATGATAGACTGGATTAAGAAAATGTGGCACATATACACCATGGAATACTATGCAGCCATAAAAAATGATGAGTTCATGTCCTTTGTAGGGACATGGATGAAGCTGGAAACCATCATTCTCAACAAACTCTCGGAAGGACAAAAAACCAAACACTGCATGTTCTCACTCATAGGTGGTAATTGAACAATGAGAACACATGCACACAGGAAGGGGAGCATCGCAGACCAGGGCCTGTTGTGGGGTGGGGGGAGGGATAGCATTAGGAGATATACCTAATGTAAATGATGAGTTAATGGGTGCAGCACACCAACATGGCACATGTATACATATGTAACAAACCTGCACGTTGTGCACATGTACCCTAGAACTTAAAGTATAATAAAAATATATATATATATAAATTTTATTGGGACTATTTTGATTCTACACCACTATTCTTTATTGGGTGTAACCCAGCAGGTCCACAAATAATTATTATTATTATTATTACCTTTTTTTTTGAGATGGAGTGTCACTCTTGTCACCTGGGCTAGAGTGCAGATGCGCAAAAGAGTGAGACTCTGTCTCAAAATAAATAAATAAAATAAAAACAGGAAAATACATTTGTTGACCTCCTGGGTTGTGCCCAATAAAGAATAGTGGAGTTTAATAGCGGTTCACTGCAACCTCCACCTCCCAGCTTAAAGCGATTCTTCTCCCTCAGTCTCCCAAGTAGCTGGGATTACGGCACCCACCACCATACTCAGCTAATTTTTGTATTTTTAGTAGAGACAGGTTTCACCATGTTGGCCAGGCTGGTCTCAAACTCCTGACCTCAGGTGATCCGCCCACATTGTCCTCCCAAAGTGCTAGATTACAGGCATGAACCACCACGTCCGGCCTAACAAATGATTTTTCATAGGTCACTGGACATCAAGGAGCCACTTGTGAACCAGGTGGAATGCAGGTGGGATGCATAGCACATGGCCCACAGGACCTGCACTGTGGGTTGGATACAGTAACGGAAGGGGCCTTTGGTCTTTCTTTTTTTTTTTTTTTTTTTTTTTTTGAGAGAGAGTCTTGTTCTGTTCCCCAGGCTGGAGTGCAGTGGCGTGATCTCGGCTCACTGCAAACTGCGCCTCCCGGGTTCACGCCATTTTCCTGCCTCAGCCTCCAGAGTAGCTGCTGGGACTACAGGTGCCCACCACCACGCCTGGCTAATTTTTTGTATTTTTAGTTGAGACGGGGTTTCACCGTGTTAGCCAGGATGGTTTCGATCCCCTGACCTCGTGATCCACCCGCCTCGGCCTCCCAAAGTGCTGGGATTACAGGCGTGAGTCACCGCGCCTGGCAAGGGACTTTGGTCTTTCTTGCTTGGGGCTGGGATGAGTGTGTCCTGTGTGAGAAGAAGGAGGCACAAGGCAGATTGGGTGGCCACAGCTGTAACCTGGAGCCACAGAGCGGGCTTCTGTTACACACTATTCTTCTTTTCTTCACTTTAACAGAACCATCCCTTGAGGTTTAGCTGGGGGCACCTGGCTGCCCAGCTACAGACTAGATTTTCCAGACTAATTTATATCAATTTTCTTTATTCTTTTAAAAGTTGTTTATTTATTGCACTTACATACTAAGATACCATTCTCAAAGGACCACGAAAGCAGAAATGGTTAATATATGAAGCTGTCTATAGGCATGATAGAATAAAAAGTTTAAAAATTATTTGGGTCGGGCTTAAATAACTTTAACAGGTTAAAAAAGTGTTTGACAATATTCAACAAATAATTCTTCACCTAATTTCTTATTGAAGCAATCACCTTAATATTCATTGGCCTTGATAAATGTGAACACTGGTCATATTTATGTAAATAATGGTCATGTGGCTTTCTTGGCATATCTAAATTCATGTTAGATCTGGCTTAACCTGTGCTTATGTATGTATATGTTACAGTTATGTACATTAAATGTGTGTGTAAGAGTTGGAATTATTTGAAAGATAGCAAAATTTTAACTAGAAAAAATAAGTTAATATCTAATAATAGTTGACTTGTTGATTAAAATAAGTAGTTATTATGAAAGAGAAAAAAGGTGATTTCAAATTGATTCAGAAGAACTGGCCTAGCAACTAAGATTGTATGCTTTCCTTTTTTTAAAAAAAAAAAAAGAACGGATATAATGTTATGTGACAATTAAATACAGAAATTACAAAACTAGTTAAATTGATGTTGCCATTAAAGCAACATTAAATAGTTTTGGGGGAGAAGAAAGAAGCCGAGAAGATGGTATCTGTGCAGTTAAGATGGTCATGTCATTTGATACATGTAAACAGAAAGCAGCCTGAGGCCCACACCTGCACCATGCTGAAAGAGCTGACCAGCGTTATATGTTCAGTCCTAGATGAAGTGCTGCATTTGTTTTTTAAACACTGGTATGCATTGTTTTAAAAATGTATAAAATAACAGTGAAAAGTTAAAGAATCGTAAGAATGTAGCTAAAGGTAAAAAAATTTTGCAAAGCCATAATTTTTATGATGAAACAATGTATTTTTTATCTTTTACGTATAATGTTTTAATGCTTTTTTAGCCCAATGAAATGTGGAAGTGTTTTGTGATTTTTATCTTACTATAGTGATTGTTTTATAAACAAAGAAAAAATTAATTCAGGATTGCAGATATGGTAAACTATTAAAATAGTTTGGGTATTAAAATATGAAATAATT
This sequence comes from Homo sapiens, assembly GCF_000001405.40. Classification (NCBI taxonomy): domain Eukaryota; kingdom Metazoa; phylum Chordata; class Mammalia; order Primates; family Hominidae; genus Homo; species Homo sapiens. Next base: position 176,060,192 of record NC_000005.10, read on the forward strand.
GGGTATTAATTCAAAATCCAAGAGTTGCCATTGAACAAACCTGTAGGCATAGGTAAGTGCTGAGGTGAAAGTGCCAACCAAAGCCGTTAGATTGAACATTTATGCCTGGAGGGAATCAGTAGAGGAACTGGCTGTGGACCTTCACCTCTGCATCCCCTTTGCTTTCTGCTGTAGCTGGGTATCACAAAAACAACAACAAAAGCCACTTATTTCTTAAAGACAGAGAAAGGATAGTTCCTTCCATTTAGGCATTCCTAAATTGCCTCCCCGGTGGCCCCTGCGCTCTTGGAGGAGGTCAAGGCAGAGCAGACCCTCAGGTGGGTGAGCGATGCACTTGACCCTGAGGACATCAGGTACCAGGCCCACTAGCCCCCGCAGGCGCGGAGCTGCGGCTGCAGCCACCAGCCTAGACGTGGCGCGCCCGCAGCAAGTGGCTGGACACCGCAGACCAGGCCCGCGTCCCCAGCAGCGCGGATCCCGGGGCCAGCCGCCCAGGCAGCAAAGTCAGGCGGTCGGCTTCGCCAGCAGCCGATGAGTCTCATCCTGTGGATTGCCCAGCGCCAGGGATCAGGATCCGGAGAGGTGTCCAGGAGGAGCAGACCCTCAGACCAGGTAGGCTGTGCACTCGGTGACCCTGACGCCATCCAAGGGAAGCTCCGCCATCCCGCGCCAGTGCCTGAGCTGCAACTGCAAACTGCGCGTCCTGGCACGAGCAGCGGTGGGGGCGGGTGGGGGAAGGAGCGAGTGACTCTCCAGGCGTCTTCCGCTACCTGACACCAGCCAGGCAGCCCCCAGGGCCAGAGCGTCAGCGCCGAAGCCAGGCTCATCCGGGAAGCCACTCCGGTGGCCGCGGGGTGCCCATGCCAGCACCAGATCTCTCTTCGGAAGGAGGAGCGGGGCGGGCTACACGGCCAGGCGGGCCCTCCCCTTAAGGCGGGGTGGGCCGCGCGCCTGCGATTTTCCGTCCGTGGTCCTGGGGCAGCCCGGGCCAGCCAGGAGAACCCGCGAGCCCAGCGGCGCCTGCACCTGCGGCTTCCGGGAGCCGGGCGGCTTTGCGAGGCTCACTAGGTCTGAGAGGTCGGAGGCCGCCAGTGTCGCTGCTGAAGGGTGGACCAGGCGGGATCGCGGATTCTGGGCTAGATCGCAGACTTGGTATCGCGGATTGGGATTTGGATCGGGGATTTTGAGTTGGATCACGGATTGGGGGTTGGATCGCGGATTGGGGGTTGGATCGCGGATTGGGGGTTGGATCGCGGATTGGGGGTTGGATCGCGGATTGGGAGTTGGATCGCGGATTGGGGGTTGGATCGCGGATTGGGGGTTGGATCGCGGATTGGGGTTTGGATCGCGGATTGGAGGTTGGATCGCGGATTGGGGGTTGGATAGGGGATTTGGAGTTGGATTGGGGATTTGGGGCTGGGTGTGGGGCGAGGGGGAGTGAAAAGGTGACACGGAGCTGCCGCGGCTCAGGAGCCAGTGGTTGGGGGTCTGAGAAGAACTCACCACCTTGAAGAAGTTCTTCGGCTTTGGGAGCCGCAGGGGCCGGCGGTCCGGGGCTCCCTAGGCCACGTCTACAGGGGTTCGGGGTACCGAATCGGAAGATCCACAGGGCGCTGTCAAGGGCGAAGCCGCGGAAGTGGAGCGCTGCCTGGAGCGCAGGAGCAGAGACCTGGAAGCCGGGGACAGGCAGCACAGGCAGTGGGGTGGGGGCTCAGCCCAGGGTGGGAGGGGGTCCCCAGGCCCGGCTTCCCCGCAGCCCCTGGGATGGGGCCTCGGAGGGCACCCTCAGAGGGGTGGTGCCAAACGGAGCCTCAGCTGCTCTGCATCCCCCATAATTCCCCAGCTGGAGCGCTTGGTGGAGAATGTGAGTGATTTAACTCACCAAGCTAAGCATACACAGTGTTATTTTTAACCTACACGTTTAAAACATGGTGTTATACACATTATAGGAGGTGCCTAATGAGAGAACTCATTCCTCTATCAAAAAATACCGTGAGTCGGCCGGGCGCGGTGGCTCAGGCCTG